>NW_003315905.1:0-182439 GCF_000001405.40 Homo sapiens
CTATAATCCCAGCTTGTTGGGAGGCCAAGGCAGGAGGATCACTTGAAGCCCAGGAGTTTGAGACGAGCCTAAGCAACATAGCAAGACCCTATCTCTACAATTATAAATATAGTATTTGTTAATATTTGGCCAGGCGTGGTAGTACATGCCTGTAGGCCCAGCTACTTGGGGAGAGGAGGCAGGAGGATCACTTGAGGGCCGAAGTTCTGGGCTGTAGTGCACTATGCAATCAGGTGTCCCCACCACATTGGGCATAAATCTGGTGATTTCCTGGGAGAAGGAGACCACCAGGTTGCCTTATAAGGGGTAAACTGGCCCACATCGAAAACAGAGTAGGTCAACATTTCCATGCTAATCAGTAATGGGATCCAGCCTATGAATAACCACTGCACTCCAGCTCGGGCAATACAGCAAGACCCTGAATTTTTTTTTTTTTTTTTTTTTGAGACAGTCTTGCTCTGTGGCCCAGGATGGAGTGCAATGGTGTGATCTCAGATCACTACAACCTCCACCTCCGGGATTCAAGCAATTCTTCTGCTTCAGCCTCCCAAGTAGCTGGGATTACAGGTGGGCGCCACCACACCTGGCCGTACCCACATTTTTTAAAAATTAAAAAAATAAGAATAAGGCCAGGCACGGTGGCTCACCCTTGTAATCCCAGCACTTTGGGAGGCCAAGGTGGGCAGATCACCTGAGGTCAAAAGTTCGAGACCAGCATGGCCAACATGGCAAAACCCTGTCTCTAATAAAAATACAAAAATTAGCCAGGCGTGGTGGCGGGCACCTGTAATCCCAGCTACTCGGGAGGCTGAGACAGGAGAATTGCTTGAACCCAGGAACTGGAGGTTTCAGTGAGCCAAGATTGCGCCATTGCACTCCAGCCTGGGCAACAAGAGTGAAGCTCCATCTCAAAAAAAAAAAAAAAATTTAGCCTGGCGTGGTGGCACGTGCCTGTAGTCCCAGCTACCAGGGAGTTTGGGGTTGGAGGATTGCTTGAGCCCGGGAAGCAGAGGTTGCAGTGAGCTGAGATCCTGCCACCACACTCCAGCCTGGGCTACAGAGTGAGACACTGTCTCAAAAAAATAAAAAATAAAAATAAAATGTAAAAAAATCTGATGAACATCATTCCAATGTCAATTATAAATTGTTTGATGTTAGGTATTTATTTATTTATTTATTTTATTTTTTATTTTTATTTATTTATTTGTTTTTTTTGAGATGGAGTTTCACTCGTTGCCCAGGCTAGAGTGCAATGGCGCGATGTCGGCTCACCACAACCTCCACCTCCCGTGTTCAAGCGATTCTCCTGCCTCGGCCTCCTGAGTAGCTGGGATTACAGGCATGCGCCACCACGCCCAGCTAATTTTGTACTTTTAGTAGAGACGTGGTTTCTCCATGTTGGTCAGGCTGGTCTTGCTGGTCTCAAACTCCCTGACCTCAAGTGATCCACCCGCCTTGGCCTCCCAAAGTGCTGGGATTACAGGTGTGAGCCACCACGCCTGGCCTATGTTAGGTATTTAATATAAATGCCTTTCATATTTATAGAAAAGCCATTCCAGCTCCCCACCTCTTCCAATGGTCCTAGAGAGGTAGGGGGCAAGACTCAACTCAGGAGGTGGGGCTCAGAAATAGGACCAAGTTGACGACTAGCTAAAACAGGGACGGAAGAGAAGCAGCTTTCCATGACATGCCCAACAGTGTGCCCTGTCAGTTCACCATTGCCATGGCAACACTGGGATGTTTCCGCCCCTTTCCATTGCAACAACCTGATGACCTGGAAATTACCAACCTTTTCCTAGAAATTTCTGCATAGCCCGCTTCTTAATTTGCATGTAATTAAAAGTGAGTTATAGGCTGGGCGAGTTGGCTCACGCCTGTAATCCCGGCACTTTGGGAGGCCGAGACGGGCGGATCACTTGAGGTCAGGAGTTCCAGACCAGCCTGGCCAACATGGTAAAACCCCATCTCTACGAAAAATATAAAAATTACCCAGGAGTGGTGCTGCACGCCTGTAATCCCAGCTACTCCAGAGGCTGAGTCAGGAGAATCGCTTGAACCCAGGAGGCAGTGAGCTGAGATCTCATCACTGCACTCCAGCCTAGGTGACAGAGCAAGACTCCATCTCAGAAAACAAAAACAACAACAACAACAAAAAAAGTGAGTTATAAATATGACTGCAGGCTGGGCATGGTGGCTGACGCCTGTAATCCCAGCACTTTGGGAGGCCAAGGTGGGTGGATCATGAGGTCAGGAGATCGAGACCATCCTGACTAACATGGTGAAGCCCCGTCTCTACTAAAAATACAAAAAATTAGCCAGGCATGGTGGCGGGTGGCTATAGTCCCAGCTACTCGTGAGGCTGAGGCAGGAGAATGGCATGAACCCGGGAGGCGGAGCTTGCAGTGAGCTGAGATCGCGCCACTGCACTCCAGCCTGGAGAGACAGCGAGACTCTGTCTCGAAAAAATAAAATAAAATAAAATAAAATAAAAATGACTGCAAATGGCCTTTGAGCTGCTACTCTGGGTACACTGCCGATGGGGTAGCTGTGCTCCCCAGGGAGCAGCACCTGTGCTGCTGCTGTACCCTGCTGCTTCAATTAAAAGTTGCAGTTTAACACCGCTGGCTCACTATTGAATTCTTTCCTGGGGGAGACCAAGAACCCTCCCAGGCTAAGTGGGGCCCACCTGCCCTGCATAGCACTGGCTTTTTTTTTTTTTTTTTTTTTGAGACAGGGTTTCCTTCTGTCACTTAGGTGGGAGTGCAGTGGCTGGAGTGCAGGGATGACTTCTTGGCTCACTGCAACCTCCACTTCCTGGGCTCAAGTGATCCTCCCACCTCAGCCTCCCAAGTAGTTGAAACTACAGGCCCACACCACCACACCTGGCTAATTTTTGTGTTTTTTGTAGAGATAGGGTTTTGCCATGTTGGCCAGGCTGGTCTCCAACTACTGGGCTCAAGCGATTTGCTCACCTTGACCATCCAAAGTCCTGGGATTACAGGCATGAGCCACTGAGCCAGGCCCAGCATTGTCTTTTCTAAGTAGGCAGAGGTCCGCTGTCTCTTCTAACAACAGTGCCCACCCCCTCCTACCCCTCCATTTGGAGTCTCAGCAGTACAACATCACTACAGATGCTCTTTGACTTATGGGGGATGGAGTTACATCCCAATATGTCCGTCCTAAATTGAAAGTATTATAAATTGAAAATATATTTAATACAACTAGCAAGTATCTATAATAATTAAAAATTAAATATTAGCCAGGCACAGTTGCTCACACCTGTAATCACAGCACTTTGGGAGGCTGAGGTGGGCAGATCACATGAGGTCGGGAATTCAAGACCAGCCTGACCAACATGGAGAAACCCCGTCTCTACTAAAAATACAAAATTAGCTAGGCGTGGTAGTGCATGCCTGTAATCCCAGCTACTCGGGAGGCTGAGGCAGGAGAATCACTTGAACCGGGGAGGCAGAGGTTGCGGTGAGCTGAGATCGTGCCATTGCACTCCAGCCTGGGCAACAAGAGTGAAACTCCATCTCAAAAAAAAAAAAAGAAAAAGAAAAATAGTAAGTCAAAGACCATCTGTAGTTTCTTGAGACACTTCTCCAAGATCTTGGCTAGGCATGTGGTTCAAACCTGTAATCCCAGCACTTTGGGAAGCCAAGGCAGGAGGATTCCTTGAAGCCAATAGTTCAAGATCAGCCTGGGAAATATAGAGACTCTATCAAAAAAAAAAAAAAAAAAAAGAGACAGAAAGAGGAAGGAAGGGAGGAAGGAAGGAAAGAAGGGAGGAAGGGAGGAAGGAAAGGGGAGGAAGGGAGGGCGGGAGGGAGGGAGGCAAAAGAAAAGAGAAAGAAAGAAAAAGAAAAAGAAGAAAGAAAGAGAAAGAAAGAGAAAGGGAGGGAGGGAAAGAAAAGAAAAGGAAGGAAGGAAAGAAGGAAGGAAGGAAGAAAAAGAAAGAAGGAAAGAAAAAGAAAGAAAGAAAAGAAAGAAAGAAAGAAAGAAAGAAAGAAAGAAAGAAAGAAAGAGAGAGAGAAAGAAATCTCCGGGCTCTGACTCCAAACTCTGTCACTCTGGATGAGTGCCTGTGGGTTTGCCCTAGTCTTTCCCTGTCCCTTTGACAACCTGCCTCCTTATCTGGGGCAGAATCTTCCAGGTGCAGCCCGAGGAGTGCAGACAGAAGGCAATTGTCACCTCCATACCTATTATGGAACTTGTGGCCACACATACACTCCTCCCTCTACCCCCACAGAATTTCTCACATTGCTCCTGTTAATCCAAGTCTCTTCCACCTGGTTCTCTGTTAAATTTTAAAGTTAAAAAATAGCTATTTTGCTAAAGATTTCATACAGGATTTGGGGGAAAGGAGGGATATGTCACCTAGAGACCAGTTTTTGTTTTTGTTTTGTTTTATTTAAAAACTCCAGTGGACAGTTTTGCTGTCTCCTCAAAGTCCCTCTGCAGCTGGCCCAAGCCAGGGTGGATCCAGGTTTTGTGGGACTTGGAGTTTACACAGTTTGGTGGGTCCCCTTTAAAAAAAAGAATACAGGCCAGGTGCAGTGGCTCATGCCTGCAATCCCAGCACTTTGTGAGGCCGAGGCAGGCGGATCACGAGGTCAGGAGATTGAGACCATCCTGACCATCATGGTGAAACCCCGTCTCTACTAAAAATACATAAATTATCTGGG
This sequence comes from Homo sapiens, assembly GCF_000001405.40. Taxonomy (NCBI): domain Eukaryota; kingdom Metazoa; phylum Chordata; class Mammalia; order Primates; family Hominidae; genus Homo; species Homo sapiens. The sequence continues at coordinate 4,689 of NW_003315905.1, forward strand.
TGTGGTGATGTGTGCCTGTGACCCTAGCTACTCGGGAGGCTGAGACACGAGAATCGCTTGAACACAGGAGATCGCGTCACTGCATTCCAGCCTGGTGACAGAGCAAGAGTCTATCTCAAAAAAAAAAAAATGGTTACGAAATAAATATTTAATTAGAAAGTGAAAAGAAATTACAAATTTCAAAAACCTGACAGAAATCCAAACATCTCACAATCTAGAAGGATATCTTTATTAGTAACTACCCATCTCACTTCTATAATATTAACTACTACTTTTCTCTTTTTTCCTTTTTAAAAAAATTTTTTAAAGTTTTTTTATTTTCTTTTTTTTTTTTTTTTTGAGACGGAGTCTCGCTCTGTCGCCCAGGCTGGAGTGCAGTGGCGTGATCTCAGCTCACTGCAAGCTCCGCCTCCCGGGTTCACGCCATTCTCCTGACTCCACCTCCCGAGTAGCTGGGACTACAGGCGCCTGCCACCACGCCCGGCTAATTTTTTTGTATTTTTAGTAGAGACGGGATTTCACCGTGTTAAGCAGGATGGTCTCGATCTCCTGACCTCGTGATCCGCCTGTCTCGGCCTCCCAAAATGCTGGATTACAGGCGTGAGCCACCGCGCCCGGCCTAAAGTTTTTTTATTTTCTGTCAGACACTCTACAGCTCAAACTCCTACTTTTCGCACTGCGTACTCTGATTGTTATTTCATATAACAATGATTTTGTAATACTTCTTTCTTTTTCAGACACGATCTTGCTGTGTCACCCAGGCTGGAGTCCAGTGGCATAATCATAGCTCGCTGCAGCCTCAATCACTCAGGCTCAAGCAATCTTCCCACCTCAGCCTCCTGAGTAGCTGGGACTGCAGGCACACACTCTGTCTAATTTTTAGAATTTTTTTTTTTTTTTTTTTTTTTTTGAGACGGAGTCTCACTCTGTCACCCGGGTTGGAGTGCGGTGGCGCGCTCTCGGTTCACTGCAACCTCTATCTCCCGGATTCAAGCGATTCTTCTGCCTCAGCCTCCAGAGTAGCTGGGATTACAGGCGCCCACCACCACGCCCAGCTAATTTTTTTGTATTTTTAGTAGAGATGGGGTTTTTTCATGTTGCCCAGGCTGGTCTCAAACTCTTGGGCTCAAGTGATCTGCCCGCCTCAGCCTCCCAAAGTTCTGGGATTACAGGCATAAGCCACTGTGCCCAGCCCATGATATCATTTTTTTATGGAGGAAAAAGAAAGATAGTTCAATCTTTTCTCTAGCAAAATCAAATGAAGTTTGTTTATTGATTGATTGATTGATTGATTGATTGATTTTTATTTATTTATTTATTTTGAGACGGAGTCTTGCTCTATTGCCCAGGCTGGAGTGCAGTGACGTGATCTCGGCTCACTGCAAACTCAGCCTCCCGGGTTCATGCCATTCTTCTGTCTCAGCCTCCCTAGTAGCAGGGACTACAGGCGCCCACCACCACGCCCAGCTAATTTTTTTGTATTTTTAGTAGAGACAGGGTTTCACTGTGTTAGCCAGGATGGTCTCCATCTCCTGACCTCGTGATCCGCCTACGTTGGCCTCCCAAAGTGCTGGGATTACAGGTGTGAGCCACCGTGCCTGGCCCAAAAGAAGTTTATTTTTATTTATTTTATTTCTTTTTCTTTTGAGACAGGTCTCACTCTGTCACCCAGGCTGAAGTGCAGTGGCATGATTACAGCACACTACAGCCTTGAACTTCTGGGCTCAAGAGGTCCTCCTGCCTCAGACTCCCAAGTAGCTGGGACTACAGGCATGTACCACCACGCCTGGCTAATTTTTTAATTTTTTTGTAGAGGCACTGTCTCATTATTTTGCCCAGGCTGGTCTTGAACTCCTGGCCTCAATCAATCCTCCTGCCTTGGCTTCCCAAAGTGCTGGGATTACAGGCGTGAGCCACTGTGCCTAGCCCATTTATATATTTTTAATCTTTCACTATTATAAATGCTATGTCTAATCCCATACCTATACCTAATGTGTTATCTCATATCTATGTTTCATTCAATATATCTGTAAGATAAACTCCTAGAAATGGGATTAGTGAGTCAAAAGATATAATATGCATTTGCAACTTTTATATCTATTCCAAATTGACCCTATATAGGGTTTAACAACTTGCACACCCGCCAGCAATGCATGATAGTGACGAATTCCCCAAAACTTTGACAACAGTATCAAACTAAAGTGGCTTCGTTGGCTGGGGTAAATATCCGAGGTTCGTCGTCTGGTACCAAGAAAATTTAGGACACAAACACACAGGAGGAGTTTCGTGGTACCTCAGTTTAGCTTTATTTGGACTTGCAACCCGGGAGGCGGAGGTTGCAGAAAGAAAAAGGAGAACAGCTTTCTCTCTGGCAAGAAAGAGGGGCTTCCCAAAGGAAAAGACTGGCCGGCAGCAGAGTTCGCCGGATTTTATAGGCAGGCTTGAAAGGCGATGTCTGATTTACGTAGGTAAATCAAATTGGTTCAATCAGGTGTGACGTTTATATAGCTTGAGGGGAAGGCTGGCCACCCCACCCTAATCTTATTATGCAAATGAACTCTCCCCTTGCCAGGTGCCATATTATCTGCTCCTTACTGTACACTGTGGCTGACAAAGAGAAGGAAAGATGGAACTGCCATTTTGAACATGATTGGCACAACTGTTGGCATCTATGTCTGCAGCTCGATTTCACAGGCTGCTCTTTGTTAGAAAGGAAAATGATCTGGGGTTGCTTTTCATTAAAAGGAGAACCTCCTGGTGGCTCATGCCGGTAATCCCAGCACTTTGGGAGGCCGAGGCAGGTGCATCATGAGGTCAAGAGTTCGAGACCAGCCTGGCCAACATGGTGAAACCCCGTCTCTACTAAGAATACAAAAATTAGCTGGGTGTGATGGCACGTGCCTGTAACCCCAGCTACTCTGGAGGCTGAGGCAGGAGAATCACTTGAACCCAGGAGGCGGAGGTTGCAGTGAGCCGAGATCCTGCCACTGCACTCCAGCCTGGGTGACAGAGCAAGACTCCGTCTCGAAAATAAATAAATAAATAGGCCGGGTGCGGTGGCTCATGCCTGTAATCCCAGCACTTTGGGAGGCCAAGGCAGGTGGATCACTTGAGGTCAGGAGTTCAAGACCAGCCTGACCAAAATGGTGAAACCCCGTCTCTACTAAAAATACAAAACTTAGCTGGGCTTGGTGGGGCACGCCTGTAACCCCAGCTACTCGGGAGGCTGAGGCAGGAGAATCCGGAGGCAGAGGTTGCAGTGAGCCCAGATTGTCCACTGCACTCCAGCCTGGGCAACAGAGAGAGATTCCATCTCAATAATAATAATAATGGCCAGGTGCAGTGACTCATGCCTGTAATCTCAGCACTTTGGGAGGCCAAGGAGGGCAGATCACCTGAGGTCAGGAGTTTGAGACCAGCCTGACCAATATGATGAAACCCTGTCCATATTAAAAAAATATAAAAATTAGCTGAGCGTGGTGGCATTCACCTGTAATCCCAGCTACTCGGGAGGCTAAGACAGGAAAATTGCTTGAACCCAGGAGGCGGAGGTTGCAGTGAGCTGAGATCGCACCATTGCACTCCAGCCTGGGCAACAAGAGTGAAACTCCATCTGAAAATAATAATCAATCAATCAATCAATAAAAATAAAAGGAGAACCTTACCAAGGACTCCCATATCCTATCTGCCTAAGTAGATTCTTTTTTTGTTTGTTTGTTTAATTTTAAGACAGAATCTTGCTCTGTTGCCAAGGCTGGAGTGCAGTAGCACAATCTCAGCTCACTGCAGCCTCCGCCTCCCAGGTTCCAGCGATTCTCCTGCCTCAACCTCCCGGGTAGCTGGGATTACAGGCACGTGCCACCAGGCCCGGCTAATTTTTGTATTTTTAATAGAGATGGGGTTTCACCATGTTGGCCAGGCTAGTCTCAAACTCCTGACCTCAGATGATCCACCCACCTTGGTCTCCCAAAGTGCTGGGATTACAGGCGTGAGTCACTGCGCCCTGCCATCTTCTTAACTCCTATATCAAAACTGGGATTCTTGTCAACCTGACAGATAAAAAGTGGTACCTCAGTTTAGCTTTATTTGCTCCATTTTAAAAAATTGAGGTAAGTCTGGTGCAGTGGCTCACGCCTGTAATCCCAGCACTTTGGGAGGCTGAGGTGGGTGGATCATCTGAGGTCAGGAGTTCGAGACTAGCCTGGCCAACATGGTGAAACCCCATCTCTACTAAAAATACAAAAATTAGCTGGGTGTGATGGCACATACCTGTAATCCGAGCTACTTGGGAGGCTGAGACAGGAAAATCACTTGTACCTGGGAGGCAGAGGTTACAGTGAGCCGAAATCACACCATTGCACTCCAGCCTAGGCAACAAGAGTGAAACTCCACCTCAAAAAAACAAAAACAAAAACAAAAAAAAAGCAACAAGCTGGGCACGGTGGCTCACGCCTGTAATCCCAGCACTTTGGGAGGCTGAGGCAGGCGAATTACAAGGTCAGGAGTTCGAGACCAGCCTGGCCAACATGGTGAACCCCGTCTCTACTAAAAATACAAAAAATTAGCTGGGCATAGTGGTGGACACCTGTAATCTCAGCTACTCGTGAGGCTGAGGCAGGAGAATAGCTTGAACCTGGGATGCAGAGGTTGCAGTTAGCCGAGATCACGCCACTGCAATCCAGTCTGGGCAACAGAGCGAGACTCCAACTCAAAACACACACACACACACACACAAAATACATATAGTAAAGTGTACAGCTCAATAAAGTTTTACATGTGTATACATTCATATAACCATCACCCAGAAAAAGATAGGATTGTTCCCAACAACTCAGAGGTTCTTTCCTGTCCCTCCTAATCAATACCTCCCCTGACCTTCAACCCCTTAGATGTAATCATTATTCTTACTTTTTTTTTTTCGATGGAGTCTCGCTCTGCCACCGGGCTGGAGTGCAGTGGCATGATCGCGGCTCACTGCAACCTCCGCCTTCCAGGTTCAAGTGATTCTCCTGCCTCTGCCTCCCGAGTAGGTGGGACTACAGGCGTGTGCCACCACGCCCAGCTAATTTTTGTATTTTTAGTAGAGATGGGGTTTCACCATGTTGGCCAGGATTGTCTCGATCTCTTGACTTTGTGATCTGCCCGCCTTGGCCTCCCAAAGTGCTGGGATTACGGGGTGAGCCACTGCGCCTGGCTTATTCTTACTTTTATTGACATAGATAACTTGTTTGTTTGTTTGTTTGTTTTTTAGAGAGATGGTGTCTGGCTATTGTCATTCCCCAATTGGTTCTTCTGGCCACTGAACACACGAAACCAATCCACTGAGACCCTGTTATTGCAATAAAGAGTTCAATCAATGCAAGGCCAGCTGTGTAGTACAACTAGAGTTATCACTCAAATCAGCCTCTCTGAAGGCTAGAAGGTTAGGGCCTTTCTTTCTTTCTCTTCTTTTTTTTTTTTTTTTTTTTTTTTGATGGAGTTTCACTCTTGTCGCCCAGGCTGGAGTGCAATAGCGCAATCTCAACTCAGTGCAACCTCCGCCTCCCAGGTTCAAGTGATTCTCCTGCCTCAGCCTCCTGAGTAGCTGGGATTACAGGTGTTAGCCACCACGCCTGGCTAATTTTTGTACTTTTAGCAGAGATGGGGTTTCACCATGTTTGTCAGGCTGGTCTTGAACTCTGGACTTCAGGTGATCCGCCTGCCTCAGCCTCCCAAAGTGCTGGGATTACAGGCGTGAGCCACCATGCCCGGCTCCCTCCCTCCCTCCCTCCTTTCCTTCCTTTCTCTTTCTCTCTTTCTTTCTTTCTCCCTTCCCTTCCTTTTTTCTTTCTCCCTTCCCTTCCTTTTTTCTGTCTCTCTTTTTCTCTTTCTTTCTTTTCTTTTCTTTCTTTCTTCTTTCTTTCTTTCTCTCTCTTTCTTTTTTTCTTTTTGAGACTCTTTATGTCACTCAGGCTGGACTGCAGCGAAGCAATCTCGGCTCACTGCAACCTCCACCTCCCCGGTTTAAGCAATTCTCATGCCTCAGCATACTGAGTAACTGGGACTAGAAGCTCATGCCACTAAGCCCGATTAATTTTTTGTGTTTTTAGTAAAGATGGGGTTTTGCCATGTTGGTTAGGCTGGTCTCAAACTCCTGGCCTCAAGTGATCATCAAAGTTAGGGTTTTTCAAAGATAGTTTGGTGGGCAGAGAACTAGGGAATGCGTGCTGCTGTTTTGTTGGGGATATAATGATAGGGGTGTGGAAAAATGTCCTTGTGTGCTGAGTCGGCCTCTGGGTGGCGGGGGGCGGGCACAAGACCATTTGGTTATATCATGAGCACAAGTCTGGGTAAGGTCAGTAAGTTGCCAGAATGTATTAGGTTGGTGCAAGAGTAATTGCAGTTTTGACCATTTCTTTTGCACCACCCTGATAGAAGTCTGACTTTTTTCTTTTTCTTTTTTCTTTTTTTTTTTGAGACAGAGTCTTGCTCTTGTGGCCCAGGCTGAAGTACAGTGGTGCGATCTCAGCTCACTACAACCTCCGCCTCCCAGGTTCAAATGATTCTTCTGTTTCAGCCTCCTGAGGAGCTGGGATTACAGGCATGCACCACCACACTCAGCTAATTTTTGTATTTTTAGTAGAGATGGGGTTTCACCATGTAGGCCAGGCTGGTCTCGAACTCCCGACCTCAGGTGATCTGCCCACCTAAGCCTCCTAAAGTGTTGGAATTACAGGCGTGAGCCACCTCACCCACCCTGAAAAACATTTTAAAAGACCAATCTTAGGTTCTACAATACTGATGTTATCTATAGGAGCAATTGGGGAAGTCACAAATCTTGAGACCACCGGCCACATGACTCCTGAGCAGTAAGGGATTATAGAAACTATGTCTATATTTTAGTAGAATTCACGTCCCTCCCATAATCCTAATCCTGTGGACTTTCATTAGTCTTATAAGGCAGTTTTCACTCCCTGAGCAAGAAGCGGGTTAGTTTTAGGAAGGCACTATTATCATCCTTGCTTTTAAATTAAGCTATGCACTAAATTCCTCCTATGGGTAGCTTGGCCTATGCCTAGGAATAAGAGAAGATAGCTAGCCTGTGATGCTAGAAGCAAGATAGAGTCAGCCATGCTAGATTTCTCTAAACGGGCATAATCTTTGCAAAGGCAGTTAAACTATGTTGTCCAGACTGGTCTCAAACTCCTGGCCTCAAGCAATCCTCCCGCCTCAGCCTCCCAAAGTGCTGGGATTACAGGTAGGAACCACCACACCCAGCCATTCTTATACATGCTTTTTAGTAGCCACAGGTACTCATTTCTCTCAGCTATATACTTATAAATGCTGTATCATGGGATAGGCAATTGTTTGGCTTTGGTAGATACTGCTCAACAATTTACCAACGTACTGTTGGGGTTCAAAAAGTAATACCCCAAAGACTGGTGCTTTGACATGCTGTGGCCTTAAACGTGCTTTGATCCTCTGCAGGTGGATCACAAGGTCAGGAGTTAGAGGCCAGCCTGGCCAACATGGTCAAACCCTATCTCTACTAAAAATACAAAATTAGCTGGGTGTGGTGGCACACACCTGTAGTCCCAGCTACTCAGGAGGCTGTGGTAGGAGAGTCACTTTTACCTGGGAGGCGGGGGTTGCCGTGAGCTGAGATCATGCCACTGCACTCCAGCCTGGACGACAGAGGGAGACTCTATCTAAAAAAAAAAAAAAAAGTCCAGGCTCAGTGACTCATACACATACTCGCCAACACTTAGTACTGTCAGTCTTTTCAATTGTAGCTCTTCTAGAAAGTGTTTAGTGATATCTCATAGGTTGCTTTTTGAAATTTTAAAAGTGTGGGCCAGACATGGTGGCTCATGCCTGTAATCCCAGCAATTTGAGAGGCCAAGGAGGGCACATCACCTGAGGCCAGGAGTTCGAGATCAGCCTGGCCAAATTTTTTTTGTTTAAGAGTTGGGGTGGCCAGGTGCAGTGGCTCACGCCTATAATCCCAACACTTCGGGAGGCCGAGGTGGGCAGATCACAAGGTCAGGAGTTTGAGACCAGCCTGGCCAACATGGTGAAACCCCATCTCTACTAAAAGTACAAAAATTAGCTGGGCGTGGTGGCAAGTGCTTGTAATCCCAGCTACCGGGAAGCTGAGGCAGGAGAATCGCTTGAACCCGGGAGGTGGAGGTTGCAGTGAGCCGAGATCACACCACTGCACTCCAGCCTGGGTAACAGAGAGAGACTCCGTCTCAAAAAAAAAAAAAGAAAGAGTTGGGGTGGCTGGGCATGGTGGCTCACGCCTGTAATCCCAGCACTTTGGGAGGCCGAGGTGGGTGGATCACCTAAGGTCAGGAGTTTGAGACCAGCCTGGTCAACATGGTGAAACCCCATCTCTATTAAAAATTCAAAAATTAACCAGGGGTGGTGGTACTTGCCTATAATCCCAGCTACTCGGGAGGCTGAGGCAAGAGAATCACTTGAACCCAGAAGGCGGAGATTGTGGTGTGCCAAGATTGCGCCATTGCACTCCAGCCTGGGCAACAAGAGCGAAACTCCGTCTCAAAAAAATAAAATAAATAAATAAATACATACATAAATTCAAAGCAGGAACCCTCTCATCATCTTTGCTATCCACTAAGAGCCTCACACTTCAGAGCACCTTCTTGCAAGCTGCTGAATCAGTGAATGAACCTCATGTAATAAAGGTTTTTCAAGGCAAGCCAATAAGACATAAAGCCATCTTCTCAAATCCAAAGTAAAGTCTCTTTCTCCAAACCAATTACTCAGATATTCCAAGACAGTAGCTACTGTTGTCTGATTCATTCTGCTAGCAATACTAACCAAGGGAGGAAAACCAATTTGAACATAATTAATTCTAGGACTTTCATTTGTAGCTGTCAGTGACCACACCAGCATATAAACTTTCACTCAGACAAAATTTCTTCTAGCCTTCTTCATCTTTAGATTTTGGCATAGTCACATTACTATCCAACTGTCGTGATTTGCAGTGACTTCTATGTTTGTGCACATTCTGTCTTACGTTGAAAACGGTGCCACTTTCTATTGCCACTGAAGTATTGGGGAATAACCTTCAGGGGCAGGTTGGCATCCTAAAAGAGAAACCTTCACACCTTGCTTCCTTTTCAACTTCATTTTTTTTTGAGATGGAGTTTTGCTCTTGTCGCCCAGGCTGGAGTGCAGTGGTGTGATCTCAGCTCACTGCAACCTCCGCCTCCTGGGTTCAAGTGATTCTCCTGCCTCAGCCTCCCGAGTAGCTGGGATCACAGGCTCCTGCCACCACGCCCAGCTAATTATTGTATTCTTAGTAGATATGGGGTTTCACTATGTTGCCTAGGCTGGTTTTGAACTCCTCACCTCAGGTGATCCACCTGCTTCAGCCTCCCAAAGTGTTGGGATTACAGGCGTGAGCCACCGTGCCCGTCCTTCCTTTTCAACTTATTTGGGTCAGTTTGAGGTACCACAGCATCTGGACATTGAGCTGCTTTGGTATGGACCTTCCTCAGGTATTCCTGAGGCATCCTCTGGGATAACGAGGGATTGAAACCTTCTGTCTGGTGGCAGAGGGCCAGGCATCAACTCCTCTTCCACTGCAGACTCTGCTGGTACCCATGCCATGATTTTCAACCCAGCCAGTTCCCCACAGAATCTTTTTCTATTCCCTTTCTCTTCCCAACTTCTGTATCCATTTAGTTTTATCTATATTTTTATTCCTTCCAATTGAAACAAACTTTAAGTAACTTGTAAAATAGACACAATTATTTTTTCTCAATACTTTTACATGCTTTTACAACTTTCCTTGCCAAAAATATATCTTGCTTTTATTTATACACTTTGTATACAGAATTGTTTCTTTTATATCTAGTAGGTTTTTTGTTTGTTTGTTTGTCTATTTTGAGATGGAGTCTCTGTCACCCAGGCTGGAGTGCAGTGGCGCCATCTCGGCTCACTGCAACCTCGGCCTGCCAAAGTGCTGGGATTACAGGCATGAGCCACCACACCTGGCCATATCTAGTAGTTTTAATTACATATACTAACTATAATTTTTTTTTTTTTAAGATGGAGTCTAGCTCTGTCACCAGGCTGAAGTTCAGTGGAGCAATCTTGGCTCACTGCAACCACCACCTCCCAGGTTCAAGCGGTTCTCCTGCCTCAGCCTCCCGAGTAGCTGGGATTGCAGGCATGCACCACCACGCCCAGCTAATTTTTGTATTTTTAGTAGAGATGAGGTTTCACCTTTGTTGGCCAGGATGGTCTCGATCTCCTGACCTTGTGATCTGCCCACCTCGGCCTCTCAAAGTGCTGGGATTACAGGCGTGAGCTATCGTGCCCAGCCTCTACTAACTATAATTTTAATTCTTAGTAATCCTAATTTCTAGTGAAAACCTAGGAAGTAAGTAATTTTTTTTTAAGAGATAGGGTTTTGCTCTGTCACCCAAGCTGGAGTGCAGTGGCACAATCATAGCTCACTGCAGCCTCGACCTCCCAGGCTCAAATGACTCTCCCACCTCAGCCTCCAGAGTAGCTGGGACTAGAGACATGCACCACCATGCCTGGCTAATTTTTTTTAGTTTTATTGTAGTGATAAAGGTTGCACCATGTTGCCCAGGCTGGTTGAACTCCTGGGCTCCAGTTATTCACTTGCGTTAGCCTCGCAAAATTACAGGCGTGAGTCACCACAATCAGCCCAATTTTTGTTTATTAAAAGATCTATCTAAATATATTTAGGTTTTCTATATTGTATATAAATAAGATGCCACAGTATAAAACTTATGTTTAATAATTAATGTTTCAGTATTTTAACTTATTTAGAAATGACTCAGACATTTCGTGATTATCTGTTACTTAATTTAACATAATATGACATAAGAATTTATTTTATTTTATTTTATTTTATTTTATTTTGGCCGGGCACAATGGCTCACGCCTATAATCCCACCACTTTGGGAGGCTGAGGCAAGCGGATCACTTGAGGTCGGGAGTTCAAGACCAGCCTGAACAACATAGAGAAACCCTGTCTCTACTAAAAATACAAAATTAGCCGAGTGTGGTGGTGCATGCCTGTAATCCCAGCTACTCGGGAGGCTGAGGCAGGAGAATTGCTTGAACCCATGAGGCAGAGGTTGCGGTGAGCCGAGATCACACCATTGCACTCCAGCCTGGGCAACAAGAGTGAAACTCCATCTCAAAAAAAAAGAAATCTCACTATGTTGCCCAGGCTGGTCTTAAACACCCGGACTCAAGTGATCCTCCTGCCTCAGCTTCCAAAAGTACTGGGATTACAGGATTACAGGCACGAGACACCACACACGGCCTTTATTTTACTAACAAATTTAAAGCTAGTTTTATTTATCAAAAATTGTCACATACACATAGCACATATAGGTATATAGACACACAAACAGAAGTACATCTTATAGCTTTCATAAAAAACTATAATTAGCTGGCTTTCAAATAGTTTTTTTTGCCATGTGTGATGGTGCATGCCTGTAATCCCAGCTACACAGGAGACTGAGGTGATAGCATTTAAGCCCAGGACTTTGAGACCATTCTGGACAACATAGTGAGGTACTGCCTCAACAACAAAAAACATAAAACAAAAAACAAAAATAGACTGGGGACAGTGGCTCATGCCTGTAATCCCAGCACTTTGGGAGGCTGAGGCAGGCGGATCATTTGAGGTCAGGAGTTCAAGACCAGCCTGGCCACCACAGTGAAACCCCATCTCTACTAAAAATACAAAAATTAGCCGGGCATGATGGTGCAAACCTATAGTCCTAGCTACTCAGGTGGCTGAAGCAGGAGGCGGAGTTCGCCTGAACCCAGGAGGCGGAGATTGCAGTGAGCCAAGATTACGCCATTGCACTCCAGCCTGGGCGACAGAGCAAGACTCCATCTCAAAAAATAACAAAAATAAAATAAATAAATAAATAGTTTTTCTTCTTGCCATTCAGACTATCAATCTTCTAATTACCTGTTTTATTACCCTAAGCAACAGTTAGCTAGGCAGTCCTAAATTTGCATGTCTAAAGGGATGAATCTTAGGTAAAACAAGGTAGAAAATTTAGATCTCAAAGGCACAGAGCTTAAACCAGGCCCACATATTGTACCATCATTTGCCCAAACCGAGGAAGAGTGGGTAAAAGCCCAGTTAAGACAAGATGCCAACCTTGGCAACAGAATGAAACTCTGTCTCAAAAGAAAAAAAAAGACATGATGCCAAGGAAAAGCACCTTAAACAAAGTTATAACTTGTTATGTAATTCTTTTCTTTTTTCTTTTTTTTCGCCTATAGTTCTAGCTACTTGGGAGGCTAAGGCAGGATCACTTCAGCCCAAGAGTTCAAGGCTGCAGTGATCTATGATTGCAGCACTAAACACCAGCCTGGGCAACAGAGTGAGACTCCAACTCTTCAGTTTTCCATAAAATCCAGATCCTGCACAACACCAACTGTTTTGTTTTTTGTTTTTTTTTTCTGAGACACGGTCTTGTTCTGTCACCCAGGCTGGAGTGCAGTGGTATGATCATGGCTCACTGCAGCCTCGACATCACATTCTCCCACCTCAGCCTCCCAAGTAGCTGGGACTAAAGGCATGTACCACCATGCCAGGCTAATTTTTGTATTTTTTGTAGAGATGGGGTTTCACAATGGTGCCGACTCCTGGGCTCAAGTGATCTGCGCAACTTGGCCTCCCGAAGTACTGGGATTACAGGTGTGAGCCAACGCACCTGGCCCATAATGCTAGATTTAAGGAGTTGCTTACATCTGAAGAATAGTGGGAAGTGAAATGCAGCACCTGATTGAACTCCTTAATGAGAGATACTAGTAAGATCTAAAAATCTTTGTATTAGAAAAAGTGCAGATTAGGCCGGGCGCGATGGCTCATGCCTGTAATCCCAGCACATTAGGAGGCTGAGGTAGGCAGATCACCTGAGGTCGGGAATTCGAGACCAGCCTGACCAACATGGAGAAACCCCATCTCTACTAAAAATACAAAAAAAAAAAAAAAATTAGCCAGGCGTGGTGGCACATGCCTGTAATCCCAGCTACTGGGGAGGCTGAGGCAGGAGAATCATTTGAACCCAGGAAGCGGAGGTTCCGATGAGCCGAGATGGCACCATTGCACTCCAGCCTGGGCAACAAGAGGGCAACTCTGTCTCAAAAAAAAAAAAGAAAGAAAAAGAAAAAGTACAGATTATGCAATCTAACTGCTTATCCAGGTCTGAAATCCTTTTAAAAATATCTGTGATCTTCAGCTGGGCACGGTGGCTCACACCTGTAATCCCAGCACTTTGGAAGGCCGAGGCGGGTGGATCTCTTGAGGTTAGGAGTTCAAGACCAGCCTGACCAACATGGTGAAACCCCGTCTCTACTAAAAATACAAAAATTAGCTGGGCATGGTGGCGCATGCCTGTAATCCCAGCAACTCAGGAGGCTGAGGCAGGAGAATCACTTGAACTCGGGAGGCAGAGGTTGCGGTGAGCCAAGATTGCATCATTGCACTACAGCCCGGGCAACAAGAGCGAAACTCCTCAAAAAAAAAAAAAAAAGGCCGGGCGCGGTGGCTCACGCCTGTAATCCCAGCACTTTGGGAGGCCGAGGCGGGCAGATCATGAGGTCAGGAGATTGAGACCATCCTGGCTAACACGGTGAAACCCTGTCTCTACTAAAAATACAAAAAACTAGCCGGGCATGGTGGCGGGTGCCTGTAGTCCCAGCTACTCGGGAGGCTGAGGCAGGAGAATGGCGTGAACCCAGGAGGTGGAGGTTGTAGTGAGCTGAGACTGCGCCAGTGCACTCCAGCCTGGGCGACGGAGTGAGACTCTGTCTCAAAAAAAAAAAAATGGTTAGGCGCGGTGGCTCACGACTGTAATCCCAACACTTTGGGAGGCCAGGGTGGGCAGATTACAAGGTCAGGAGTTCGAGACCAGCCTGACCAACATGGTGAAACCCTGTCTCTACTAAAAGTACAGGAAGATTAGCCGGGCATGATGGCTGGCGCCTGTAATCGCAGCTACTCAGGAGGCTGAGGCACAAGGATTGCTTGAAACCGGGAGGCAGAGGTTGCAGTGAGCCAAGATGGTGCCACTGCACTCTGGGCTGGGTGACAGAGTGAGACTCCATCTAAAAAAACAAAGAAAAAAAAAGAAGAAGAAGAAGATGGAAATGTTTCAATCATCACAATTCCTTTTGAGGGAACAGAAACTCATTTTATTTATGGAAAAGGGGGCTTGACCCTGAAACTGCCATCTAAGGAAGGTGCATCTTTTTTTGCTTTTTGTTTGTTTCTTTGGGTTTCATTTGTCTGTTTGTTTGAGACAGGGTTTGCTCTGTCACCCAGGCTGGAGTGCAGTGGTAAGATCTTGGCTCACTGTGACCTCCGCCTCCCAAGTTCAAGCAATTCTCCTGCCTCAGCCCCTCGAGTAGCTGGGACTACAGGCACTCACCAACGCACCCAGCTAATTTTGTATTTTTAGTAGAGACGGGGTTTCACTATGTTGGTCAGGCTGACCTTGAACTTCTGACCTCAGGTGATCCACCCACCTCGGCCTCCCAAAGTGCTGGGATTACAGGCATAAGCCACTGAGCCCGGCCTGTTTCTTTGTTTTTTTGAGACAAGAGTCTCACTCTGTCACCCAGGCTGGAGTGCAGTGGCATGATCTCAGCTCACTGCAACCTCCGACTCCCGAGTTCAAGCGATTCTCTTGCCTCAGGTTCCTGAGCAGCTTGGATTACAGGCACACCACCGCGCCTGGCTAAATTTTTTGTATTTTTAGTAGAGACGGGGTTTTGCCACGTTGGTCAGGGTGGTCTTAAACTCCTGACCTCAGGTAATCTGCCCACCTCAGCCTCCGAAAGTGCTGGGATTACAGGTGTGAGCCACTGCGCCTGGTCGAGTTTTTTTTTGTTTTTTTGTTTGTTTGAGATGGAGTCTCGCTCTGTTGCCCAGGCTGGAGTGCAGTGGCACAGTCTCGGCTTACTGCAACCTCCGCCTCCCGGTAAGCAATTCTCCTGCCTCAGCCTCCTGAGTAGCTGGGGCTATAGGCTCATGTCACCACACCTGACTAATTTTTGTATTCTTAGTAGAGACGGGGTTTCGTCATGATGGCCAGGCTGGTCTCAAACTCTTGACCTCGTGATCTGCCTGCCGTGGCCTCCCAAAGTGCTGGGATTACAGGCGTGAGCCACCAGGCCCAGCCTTTTTTTTTTTTTTTTTTTTTTTTTTTTTTTTTTTAAGATTAATGACCTTGGGCAGGGTGAGGTGGCTCTCACCTGTAATCCTAGCACTTTGGGAGGCCGAGGTCAGTGGATCACGAGATCAAGAGCTCGAGACCAGCCTGGCCAACATGGCAAAACCCCGTCTCTACTAAGAATACAAAAATTAGCCAGGCATGGTGGCACGAGCCTGTAGTCCCAGCTACTCGGGAGGCTGAGGCAGGAGAATCACTTGAACCCTGGAGGCAGAGGTTCCAGTGAGCCTAGATTGTGCCAGTGCACTCCAGCCTATGCAACAGAGCAAGACCCTGTCTCAAAAAAAAAAAAAAAAAAGATTAATGACCTTATTATTTCTAGAAATAACATACACTTAGAAAAAGAATTACAGAGAAGAAATAAAAAATCACCTAAGAGGCCAGGCATAGTGGCTCACACCCATAATCTCAACACTTTGAAGGCCCAGGCAAGAGGATCAATTGAGGACAGGAGTTCAAGACCAACCTGGGCAATATAACAAGACCTCATCTCTACAAAAGAAAAAAAAAATTAGCCAGGTGTGGTGGCACATGCCTGTAGTCCTAGCTATTCAATAGGCTGAGGCAGGAGGATCCCTTGAACCCAGGAGTTCAAGGTTACAGTGAGCCATGATGGTGCCACTGCACTCCAGCCTGAGTACAGAGTGAGACGCAGACTTACAAAAAAAAAAAATCACCTAAGATTCTGACATCAAAATAGTCATTATTGGCAGTGCATGGTGGCTTACATCTATAATCCCAGCTTGTTGGGAGGCCAAGGCAGGAGGATCACTTGAAGCCCAGGAGTTTGAGACGAGCCTAAGCAACATAGCAAGACCCTATCTCTACAATTATAAATATAGTATTTGTTAATATTTGGCCAGGCGTGGTAGTACATGCCTGTAGGCCCAGCTACTTGGGGAGAGGAGGCAGGAGGATCACTTGAGGGCCGAAGTTCTGGGCTGTAGTGCACTATGCAATCAGGTGTCCCCACCACATTGGGCATAAATCTGGTGATTTCCTGGGAGAAGGAGACCACCAGGTTGCCTTATAAGGGGTAAACTGGCCCACATCGAAAACAGAGTAGGTCAACATTTCCATGCTAATCAGTAATGGGATCCAGCCTATGAATAACCACTGCACTCCAGCTCGGGCAATACAGCAAGACCCTGAATTTTTTTTTTTTTTTTTTTTTGAGACAGTCTTGCTCTGTGGCCCAGGATGGAGTGCAATGGTGTGATCTCAGATCACTACAACCTCCACCTCCGGGATTCAAGCAATTCTTCTGCTTCAGCCTCCCAAGTAGCTGGGATTACAGGTGGGCGCCACCACACCTGGCCGTACCCACATTTTTTAAAAATTAAAAAAATAAGAATAAGGCCAGGCACGGTGGCTCACCCTTGTAATCCCAGCACTTTGGGAGGCCAAGGTGGGCAGATCACCTGAGGTCAAAAGTTCGAGACCAGCATGGCCAACATGGCAAAACCCTGTCTCTAATAAAAATACAAAAATTAGCCAGGCGTGGTGGCGGGCACCTGTAATCCCAGCTACTCGGGAGGCTGAGACAGGAGAATTGCTTGAACCCAGGAACTGGAGGTTTCAGTGAGCCAAGATTGCGCCATTGCACTCCAGCCTGGGCAACAAGAGTGAAGCTCCATCTCAAAAAAAAAAAAAAAATTTAGCCTGGCGTGGTGGCACGTGCCTGTAGTCCCAGCTACCAGGGAGTTTGGGGTTGGAGGATTGCTTGAGCCCGGGAAGCAGAGGTTGCAGTGAGCTGAGATCCTGCCACCACACTCCAGCCTGGGCTACAGAGTGAGACACTGTCTCAAAAAAATAAAAAATAAAAATAAAATGTAAAAAAATCTGATGAACATCATTCCAATGTCAATTATAAATTGTTTGATGTTAGGTATTTATTTATTTATTTATTTTATTTTTTATTTTTATTTATTTATTTGTTTTTTTTGAGATGGAGTTTCACTCGTTGCCCAGGCTAGAGTGCAATGGCGCGATGTCGGCTCACCACAACCTCCACCTCCCGTGTTCAAGCGATTCTCCTGCCTCGGCCTCCTGAGTAGCTGGGATTACAGGCATGCGCCACCACGCCCAGCTAATTTTGTACTTTTAGTAGAGACGTGGTTTCTCCATGTTGGTCAGGCTGGTCTTGCTGGTCTCAAACTCCTGACCTCAAGTGATCCACCCGCCTTGGCCTCCCAAAGTGCTGGGATTACAGGTGTGAGCCACCACGCCTGGCCTATGTTAGGTATTTAATATAAATGCCTTTCATATTTATAGAAAAGCCATTCCAGCTCCCCACCTCTTCCAATGGTCCTAGAGAGGTAGGGGGCAAGACTCAACTCAGGAGGTGGGGCTCAGAAATAGGACCAAGTTGACGACTAGCTAAAACAGGGACGGAAGAGAAGCAGCTTTCCATGACATGCCCAACAGTGTGCCCTGTCAGTTCACCATTGCCATGGCAACACTGGGATGTTTCCGCCCCTTTCCATTGCAACAACCTGATGACCTGGAAATTACCAACCTTTTCCTAGAAATTTCTGCATAGCCCGCTTCTTAATTTGCATGTAATTAAAAGTGAGTTATAGGCTGGGCGAGTTGGCTCACGCCTGTAATCCCGGCACTTTGGGAGGCCGAGACGGGCGGATCACTTGAGGTCAGGAGTTCCAGACCAGCCTGGCCAACATGGTAAAACCCCATCTCTACGAAAAATATAAAAATTACCCAGGAGTGGTGCTGCACGCCTGTAATCCCAGCTACTCCAGAGGCTGAGTCAGGAGAATCGCTTGAACCCAGGAGGCAGTGAGCTGAGATCTCATCACTGCACTCCAGCCTAGGTGACAGAGCAAGACTCCATCTCAAAAAACAAAAACAACAACAACAACAAAAAAAGTGAGTTATAAATATGACTGCAGGCTGGGCATGGTGGCTGACGCCTGTAATCCCAGCACTTTGGGAGGCCAAGGTGGGTGGATCATGAGGTCAGGAGATCGAGACCATCCTGACTAACATGGTGAAGCCCCGTCTCTACTAAAAATACAAAAAATTAGCCAGGCATGGTGGCGGGTGGCTATAGTCCCAGCTACTCGTGAGGCTGAGGCAGGAGAATGGCATGAACCCGGGAGGCGGAGCTTGCAGTGAGCTGAGATCGCGCCACTGCACTCCAGCCTGGAGAGACAGCGAGACTCTGTCTCGAAAAAATAAAATAAAATAAAATAAAATAAAAATGACTGCAAATGGCCTTTGAGCTGCTACTCTGGGTACACTGCCGATGGGGTAGCTGTGCTCCCCAGGGAGCAGCACCTGTGCTGCTGCTGTACCCTGCTGCTTCAATTAAAAGTTGCAGTTTAACACCGCTGGCTCACTATTGAATTCTTTCCTGGGGGAGACCAAGAACCCTCCCAGGCTAAGTGGGGCCCACCTGCCCTGCATAGCACTGGCTTTTTTTTTTTTTTTTTTTTTGAGACAGGGTTTCCTTCTGTCACTTAGGTGGGAGTGCAGTGGCTGGAGTGCAGGGATGACTTCTTGGCTCACTGCAACCTCCACTTCCTGGGCTCAAGTGATCCTCCCACCTCAGCCTCCCAAGTAGTTGAAACTACAGGCCCACACCACCACACCTGGCTAATTTTTGTGTTTTTTGTAGAGATAGGGTTTTGCCATGTTGGCCAGGCTGGTCTCCAACTACTGGGCTCAAGCGATTTGCTCACCTTGACCATCCAAAGTCCTGGGATTACAGGCATGAGCCACTGAGCCAGGCCCAGCATTGTCTTTTCTAAGTAGGCAGAGGTCCGCTGTCTCTTCTAACAACAGTGCCCACCCCCTCCTACCCCTCCATTTGGAGTCTCAGCAGTACAACATCACTACAGATGCTCTTTGACTTATGGGGGATGGAGTTACATCCCAATATGTCCGTCCTAAATTGAAAGTATTATAAATTGAAAATATATTTAATACAACTAGCAAGTATCTATAATAATTAAAAATTAAATATTAGCCAGGCACAGTTGCTCACACCTGTAATCACAGCACTTTGGGAGGCTGAGGTGGGCAGATCACATGAGGTCGGGAATTCAAGACCAGCCTGACCAACATGGAGAAACCCCGTCTCTACTAAAAATACAAAATTAGCTAGGCGTGGTAGTGCATGCCTGTAATCCCAGCTACTCGGGAGGCTGAGGCAGGAGAATCACTTGAACCGGGGAGGCAGAGGTTGCGGTGAGCTGAGATCGTGCCATTGCACTCCAGCCTGGGCAACAAGAGTGAAACTCCATCTCAAAAAAAAAAAAAGAAAAAGAAAAATAGTAAGTCAAAGACCATCTGTAGTTTCTTGAGACACTTCTCCAAGATCTTGGCTAGGCATGTGGTTCAAACCTGTAATCCCAGCACTTTGGGAAGCCAAGGCAGGAGGATTCCTTGAAGCCAATAGTTCAAGATCAGCCTGGGAAATATAGAGACTCTATCAAAAAAAAAAAAAAAAAAAAGAGACAGAAAGAGGAAGGAAGGGAGGAAGGAAGGAAAGAAGGGAGGAAGGGAGGAAGGAAAGGGGAGGAAGGGAGGGCGGGAGGGAGGGAGGCAAAAGAAAAGAGAAAGAAAGAAAAAGAAAAAGAAGAAAGAAAGAGAAAGAAAGAGAAAGGGAGGGAGGGAAAGAAAAGAAAAGGAAGGAAGGAAAGAAGGAAGGAAGGAAGAAAAAGAAAGAAGGAAAGAAAAAGAAAGAAAGAAAAGAAAGAAAGAAAGAAAGAAAGAAAGAAAGAAAGAAAGAAAGAAAGAAAGAAAGAAAGAAAGAGAGAGAGAAAGAAATCTCCGGGCTCTGACTCCAAACTCTGTCACTCTGGATGAGTGCCTGTGGGTTTGCCCTAGTCTTTCCCTGTCCCTTTGACAACCTGCCTCCTTATCTGGGGCAGAATCTTCCAGGTGCAGCCCGAGGAGTGCAGACAGAAGGCAATTGTCACCTCCATACCTATTATGGAACTTGTGGCCACACATACACTCCTCCCTCTACCCCCACAGAATTTCTCACATTGCTCCTGTTAATCCAAGTCTCTTCCACCTGGTTCTCTGTTAAATTTTAAAGTTAAAAAATAGCTATTTTGCTAAAGATTTCATACAGGATTTGGGGGAAAGGAGGGATATGTCACCTAGAGACCAGTTTTTGTTTTTGTTTTGTTTTATTTAAAAACTCCAGTGGACAGTTTTGCTGTCTCCTCAAAGTCCCTCTGCAGCTGGCCCAAGCCAGGGTGGATCCAGGTTTTGTGGGACTTGGAGTTTACACAGTTTGGTGGGTCCCCTTTAAAAAAAAGAATACAGGCCAGGTGCAGTGGCTCATGCCTGCAATCCCAGCACTTTGTGAGGCCGAGGCAGGCGGATCACGAGGTCAGGAGATTGAGACCATCCTGACCATCATGGTGAAACCCCGTCTCTACTAAAAATACATAAATTATCTGGGTGTGGTGATGTGTGCCTGTGACCCTAGCTACTCGGGAGGCT
This sequence comes from Homo sapiens, assembly GCF_000001405.40. Lineage (NCBI taxonomy): Eukaryota > Metazoa > Chordata > Mammalia > Primates > Hominidae > Homo > Homo sapiens. Next base: position 25,418 of record NW_003315905.1, read on the forward strand.
GAGACACGAGAATCGCTTGAACACAGGAGATCGCGTCACTGCATTCCAGCCTGGTGACAGAGCAAGAGTCTATCTCAAAAAAAAAAAAATGGTTACGAAATAAATATTTAATTAGAAAGTGAAAAGAAATTACAAATTTCAAAAACCTGACAGAAATCCAAACATCTCACAATCTAGAAGGATATCTTTATTAGTAACTACCCATCTCACTTCTATAATATTAACTACTACTTTTCTCTTTTTTCCTTTTTAAAAAAATTTTTTAAAGTTTTTTTATTTTCTTTTTTTTTTTTTTTTTTGAGACGGAGTCTCGCTCTGTCGCCCAGGCTGGAGTGCAGTGGCGTGATCTCAGCTCACTGCAAGCTCCGCCTCCCGGGTTCACGCCATTCTCCTGACTCCACCTCCCGAGTAGCTGGGACTACAGGCGCCTGCCACCACGCCCGGCTAATTTTTTTGTATTTTTAGTAGAGACGGGATTTCACCGTGTTAAGCAGGATGGTCTCGATCTCCTGACCTCGTGATCCGCCTGTCTCGGCCTCCCAAAATGCTGGATTACAGGCGTGAGCCACCGCGCCCGGCCTAAAGTTTTTTTATTTTCTGTCAGACACTCTACAGCTCAAACTCCTACTTTTCGCACTGCGTACTCTGATTGTTATTTCATATAACAATGATTTTGTAATACTTCTTTCTTTTTCAGACACGATCTTGCTGTGTCACCCAGGCTGGAGTCCAGTGGCATAATCATAGCTCGCTGCAGCCTCAATCACTCAGGCTCAAGCAATCTTCCCACCTCAGCCTCCTGAGTAGCTGGGACTGCAGGCACACACTCTGTCTAATTTTTAGAATTTTTTTTTTTTTTTTTTTTTTTTTTGAGACGGAGTCTCACTCTGTCACCCGGGTTGGAGTGCGGTGGCGCGCTCTCGGTTCACTGCAACCTCTATCTCCCGGATTCAAGCGATTCTTCTGCCTCAGCCTCCAGAGTAGCTGGGATTACAGGCGCCCACCACCACGCCCAGCTAATTTTTTTGTATTTTTAGTAGAGATGGGGTTTTTTCATGTTGCCCAGGCTGGTCTCAAACTCTTGGGCTCAAGTGATCTGCCCGCCTCAGCCTCCCAAAGTTCTGGGATTACAGGCATAAGCCACTGTGCCCAGCCCATGATATCATTTTTTTATGGAGGAAAAAGAAAGATAGTTCAATCTTTTCTCTAGCAAAATCAAATGAAGTTTGTTTATTGATTGATTGATTGATTGATTGATTGATTTTTATTTATTTATTTATTTTGAGACGGAGTCTTGCTCTATTGCCCAGGCTGGAGTGCAGTGACGTGATCTCGGCTCACTGCAAACTCAGCCTCCCGGGTTCATGCCATTCTTCTGTCTCAGCCTCCCTAGTAGCAGGGACTACAGGCGCCCACCACCACGCCCAGCTAATTTTTTTGTATTTTTAGTAGAGACAGGGTTTCACTGTGTTAGCCAGGATGGTCTCCATCTCCTGACCTCGTGATCCGCCTACGTTGGCCTCCCAAAGTGCTGGGATTACAGGTGTGAGCCACCGTGCCTGGCCCAAAAGAAGTTTATTTTTATTTATTTTATTTCTTTTTCTTTTGAGACAGGTCTCACTCTGTCACCCAGGCTGAAGTGCAGTGGCATGATTACAGCACACTACAGCCTTGAACTTCTGGGCTCAAGAGGTCCTCCTGCCTCAGACTCCCAAGTAGCTGGGACTACAGGCATGTACCACCACGCCTGGCTAATTTTTTAATTTTTTTGTAGAGGCACTGTCTCATTATTTTGCCCAGGCTGGTCTTGAACTCCTGGCCTCAATCAATCCTCCTGCCTTGGCTTCCCAAAGTGCTGGGATTACAGGCGTGAGCCACTGTGCCTAGCCCATTTATATATTTTTAATCTTTCACTATTATAAATGCTATGTCTAATCCCATACCTATACCTAATGTGTTATCTCATATCTATGTTTCATTCAATATATCTGTAAGATAAACTCCTAGAAATGGGATTAGTGAGTCAAAAGATATAATATGCATTTGCAACTTTTATATCTATTCCAAATTGACCCTATATAGGGTTTAACAACTTGCACACCCGCCAGCAATGCATGATAGTGACGAATTCCCCAAAACTTTGACAACAGTATCAAACTAAAGTGGCTTCGTTGGCTGGGGTAAATATCCGAGGTTCGTCGTCTGGTACCAAGAAAATTTAGGACACAAACACACAGGAGGAGTTTCGTGGTACCTCAGTTTAGCTTTATTTGGACTTGCAACCCGGGAGGCGGAGGTTGCAGAAAGAAAAAGGAGAACAGCTTTCTCTCTGGCAAGAAAGAGGGGCTTCCCAAAGGAAAAGACTGGCCGGCAGCAGAGTTCGCCGGATTTTATAGGCAGGCTTGAAAGGCGATGTCTGATTTACGTAGGTAAATCAAATTGGTTCAATCAGGTGTGACGTTTATATAGCTTGAGGGGAAGGCTGGCCACCCCACCCTAATCTTATTATGCAAATGAACTCTCCCCTTGCCAGGTGCCATATTATCTGCTCCTTACTGTACACTGTGGCTGACAAAGAGAAGGAAAGATGGAACTGCCATTTTGAACATGATTGGCACAACTGTTGGCATCTATGTCTGCAGCTCGATTTCACAGGCTGCTCTTTGTTAGAAAGGAAAATGATCTGGGGTTGCTTTTCATTAAAAGGAGAACCTCCTGGTGGCTCATGCCGGTAATCCCAGCACTTTGGGAGGCCGAGGCAGGTGCATCATGAGGTCAAGAGTTCGAGACCAGCCTGGCCAACATGGTGAAACCCCGTCTCTACTAAGAATACAAAAATTAGCTGGGTGTGATGGCACGTGCCTGTAACCCCAGCTACTCTGGAGGCTGAGGCAGGAGAATCACTTGAACCCAGGAGGCGGAGGTTGCAGTGAGCCGAGATCCTGCCACTGCACTCCAGCCTGGGTGACAGAGCAAGACTCCGTCTCGAAAATAAATAAATAAATAGGCCGGGTGCGGTGGCTCATGCCTGTAATCCCAGCACTTTGGGAGGCCAAGGCAGGTGGATCACTTGAGGTCAGGAGTTCAAGACCAGCCTGACCAAAATGGTGAAACCCCGTCTCTACTAAAAATACAAAACTTAGCTGGGCTTGGTGGGGCACGCCTGTAACCCCAGCTACTCGGGAGGCTGAGGCAGGAGAATCCGGAGGCAGAGGTTGCAGTGAGCCCAGATTGTCCACTGCACTCCAGCCTGGGCAACAGAGAGAGATTCCATCTCAATAATAATAATAATGGCCAGGTGCAGTGACTCATGCCTGTAATCTCAGCACTTTGGGAGGCCAAGGAGGGCAGATCACCTGAGGTCAGGAGTTTGAGACCAGCCTGACCAATATGATGAAACCCTGTCCATATTAAAAAAATATAAAAATTAGCTGAGCGTGGTGGCATTCACCTGTAATCCCAGCTACTCGGGAGGCTAAGACAGGAAAATTGCTTGAACCCAGGAGGCGGAGGTTGCAGTGAGCTGAGATCGCACCATTGCACTCCAGCCTGGGCAACAAGAGTGAAACTCCATCTGAAAATAATAATCAATCAATCAATCAATAAAAATAAAAGGAGAACCTTACCAAGGACTCCCATATCCTATCTGCCTAAGTAGATTCTTTTTTTGTTTGTTTGTTTAATTTTAAGACAGAATCTTGCTCTGTTGCCAAGGCTGGAGTGCAGTAGCACAATCTCAGCTCACTGCAGCCTCCGCCTCCCAGGTTCCAGCGATTCTCCTGCCTCAACCTCCCGGGTAGCTGGGATTACAGGCACGTGCCACCAGGCCCGGCTAATTTTTGTATTTTTAATAGAGATGGGGTTTCACCATGTTGGCCAGGCTAGTCTCAAACTCCTGACCTCAGATGATCCACCCACCTTGGTCTCCCAAAGTGCTGGGATTACAGGCGTGAGTCACTGCGCCCTGCCATCTTCTTAACTCCTATATCAAAACTGGGATTCTTGTCAACCTGACAGATAAAAAGTGGTACCTCAGTTTAGCTTTATTTGCTCCATTTTAAAAAATTGAGGTAAGTCTGGTGCAGTGGCTCACGCCTGTAATCCCAGCACTTTGGGAGGCTGAGGTGGGTGGATCATCTGAGGTCAGGAGTTCGAGACTAGCCTGGCCAACATGGTGAAACCCCATCTCTACTAAAAATACAAAAATTAGCTGGGTGTGATGGCACATACCTGTAATCCGAGCTACTTGGGAGGCTGAGACAGGAAAATCACTTGTACCTGGGAGGCAGAGGTTACAGTGAGCCGAAATCACACCATTGCACTCCAGCCTAGGCAACAAGAGTGAAACTCCACCTCAAAAAAACAAAAACAAAAACAAAAAAAAAGCAACAAGCTGGGCACGGTGGCTCACGCCTGTAATCCCAGCACTTTGGGAGGCTGAGGCAGGCGAATTACAAGGTCAGGAGTTCGAGACCAGCCTGGCCAACATGGTGAACCCCGTCTCTACTAAAAATACAAAAAATTAGCTGGGCATAGTGGTGGACACCTGTAATCTCAGCTACTCGTGAGGCTGAGGCAGGAGAATAGCTTGAACCTGGGATGCAGAGGTTGCAGTTAGCCGAGATCACGCCACTGCAATCCAGTCTGGGCAACAGAGCGAGACTCCAACTCAAAACACACACACACACACACACAAAATACATATAGTAAAGTGTACAGCTCAATAAAGTTTTACATGTGTATACATTCATATAACCATCACCCAGAAAAAGATAGGATTGTTCCCAACAACTCAGAGGTTCTTTCCTGTCCCTCCTAATCAATACCTCCCCTGACCTTCAACCCCTTAGATGTAATCATTATTCTTACTTTTTTTTTTTCGATGGAGTCTCGCTCTGCCACCGGGCTGGAGTGCAGTGGCATGATCGCGGCTCACTGCAACCTCCGCCTTCCAGGTTCAAGTGATTCTCCTGCCTCTGCCTCCCGAGTAGGTGGGACTACAGGCGTGTGCCACCACGCCCAGCTAATTTTTGTATTTTTAGTAGAGATGGGGTTTCACCATGTTGGCCAGGATTGTCTCGATCTCTTGACTTTGTGATCTGCCCGCCTTGGCCTCCCAAAGTGCTGGGATTACGGGGTGAGCCACTGCGCCTGGCTTATTCTTACTTTTATTGACATAGATAACTTGTTTGTTTGTTTGTTTGTTTTTTAGAGAGATGGTGTCTGGCTATTGTCATTCCCCAATTGGTTCTTCTGGCCACTGAACACACGAAACCAATCCACTGAGACCCTGTTATTGCAATAAAGAGTTCAATCAATGCAAGGCCAGCTGTGTAGTACAACTAGAGTTATCACTCAAATCAGCCTCTCTGAAGGCTAGAAGGTTAGGGCCTTTCTTTCTTTCTCTTCTTTTTTTTTTTTTTTTTTTTTTTTGATGGAGTTTCACTCTTGTCGCCCAGGCTGGAGTGCAATAGCGCAATCTCAACTCAGTGCAACCTCCGCCTCCCAGGTTCAAGTGATTCTCCTGCCTCAGCCTCCTGAGTAGCTGGGATTACAGGTGTTAGCCACCACGCCTGGCTAATTTTTGTACTTTTAGCAGAGATGGGGTTTCACCATGTTTGTCAGGCTGGTCTTGAACTCTGGACTTCAGGTGATCCGCCTGCCTCAGCCTCCCAAAGTGCTGGGATTACAGGCGTGAGCCACCATGCCCGGCTCCCTCCCTCCCTCCCTCCTTTCCTTCCTTTCTCTTTCTCTCTTTCTTTCTTTCTCCCTTCCCTTCCTTTTTTCTTTCTCCCTTCCCTTCCTTTTTTCTGTCTCTCTTTTTCTCTTTCTTTCTTTTCTTTTCTTTCTTTCTTCTTTCTTTCTTTCTCTCTCTTTCTTTTTTTCTTTTTGAGACTCTTTATGTCACTCAGGCTGGACTGCAGCGAAGCAATCTCGGCTCACTGCAACCTCCACCTCCCCGGTTTAAGCAATTCTCATGCCTCAGCATACTGAGTAACTGGGACTAGAAGCTCATGCCACTAAGCCCGATTAATTTTTTGTGTTTTTAGTAAAGATGGGGTTTTGCCATGTTGGTTAGGCTGGTCTCAAACTCCTGGCCTCAAGTGATCATCAAAGTTAGGGTTTTTCAAAGATAGTTTGGTGGGCAGAGAACTAGGGAATGCGTGCTGCTGTTTTGTTGGGGATATAATGATAGGGGTGTGGAAAAATGTCCTTGTGTGCTGAGTCGGCCTCTGGGTGGCGGGGGGCGGGCACAAGACCATTTGGTTATATCATGAGCACAAGTCTGGGTAAGGTCAGTAAGTTGCCAGAATGTATTAGGTTGGTGCAAGAGTAATTGCAGTTTTGACCATTTCTTTTGCACCACCCTGATAGAAGTCTGACTTTTTTCTTTTTCTTTTTTCTTTTTTTTTTTGAGACAGAGTCTTGCTCTTGTGGCCCAGGCTGAAGTACAGTGGTGCGATCTCAGCTCACTACAACCTCCGCCTCCCAGGTTCAAATGATTCTTCTGTTTCAGCCTCCTGAGGAGCTGGGATTACAGGCATGCACCACCACACTCAGCTAATTTTTGTATTTTTAGTAGAGATGGGGTTTCACCATGTAGGCCAGGCTGGTCTCGAACTCCCGACCTCAGGTGATCTGCCCACCTAAGCCTCCTAAAGTGTTGGAATTACAGGCGTGAGCCACCTCACCCACCCTGAAAAACATTTTAAAAGACCAATCTTAGGTTCTACAATACTGATGTTATCTATAGGAGCAATTGGGGAAGTCACAAATCTTGAGACCACCGGCCACATGACTCCTGAGCAGTAAGGGATTATAGAAACTATGTCTATATTTTAGTAGAATTCACGTCCCTCCCATAATCCTAATCCTGTGGACTTTCATTAGTCTTATAAGGCAGTTTTCACTCCCTGAGCAAGAAGCGGGTTAGTTTTAGGAAGGCACTATTATCATCCTTGCTTTTAAATTAAGCTATGCACTAAATTCCTCCTATGGGTAGCTTGGCCTATGCCTAGGAATAAGAGAAGATAGCTAGCCTGTGATGCTAGAAGCAAGATAGAGTCAGCCATGCTAGATTTCTCTAAACGGGCATAATCTTTGCAAAGGCAGTTAAACTATGTTGTCCAGACTGGTCTCAAACTCCTGGCCTCAAGCAATCCTCCCGCCTCAGCCTCCCAAAGTGCTGGGATTACAGGTAGGAACCACCACACCCAGCCATTCTTATACATGCTTTTTAGTAGCCACAGGTACTCATTTCTCTCAGCTATATACTTATAAATGCTGTATCATGGGATAGGCAATTGTTTGGCTTTGGTAGATACTGCTCAACAATTTACCAACGTACTGTTGGGGTTCAAAAAGTAATACCCCAAAGACTGGTGCTTTGACATGCTGTGGCCTTAAACGTGCTTTGATCCTCTGCAGGTGGATCACAAGGTCAGGAGTTAGAGGCCAGCCTGGCCAACATGGTCAAACCCTATCTCTACTAAAAATACAAAATTAGCTGGGTGTGGTGGCACACACCTGTAGTCCCAGCTACTCAGGAGGCTGTGGTAGGAGAGTCACTTTTACCTGGGAGGCGGGGGTTGCCGTGAGCTGAGATCATGCCACTGCACTCCAGCCTGGACGACAGAGGGAGACTCTATCTAAAAAAAAAAAAAAAAGTCCAGGCTCAGTGACTCATACACATACTCGCCAACACTTAGTACTGTCAGTCTTTTCAATTGTAGCTCTTCTAGAAAGTGTTTAGTGATATCTCATAGGTTGCTTTTTGAAATTTTAAAAGTGTGGGCCAGACATGGTGGCTCATGCCTGTAATCCCAGCAATTTGAGAGGCCAAGGAGGGCACATCACCTGAGGCCAGGAGTTCGAGATCAGCCTGGCCAAATTTTTTTTGTTTAAGAGTTGGGGTGGCCAGGTGCAGTGGCTCACGCCTATAATCCCAACACTTCGGGAGGCCGAGGTGGGCAGATCACAAGGTCAGGAGTTTGAGACCAGCCTGGCCAACATGGTGAAACCCCATCTCTACTAAAAGTACAAAAATTAGCTGGGCGTGGTGGCAAGTGCTTGTAATCCCAGCTACCGGGAAGCTGAGGCAGGAGAATCGCTTGAACCCGGGAGGTGGAGGTTGCAGTGAGCCGAGATCACACCACTGCACTCCAGCCTGGGTAACAGAGAGAGACTCCGTCTCAAAAAAAAAAAAAGAAAGAGTTGGGGTGGCTGGGCATGGTGGCTCACGCCTGTAATCCCAGCACTTTGGGAGGCCGAGGTGGGTGGATCACCTAAGGTCAGGAGTTTGAGACCAGCCTGGTCAACATGGTGAAACCCCATCTCTATTAAAAATTCAAAAATTAACCAGGGGTGGTGGTACTTGCCTATAATCCCAGCTACTCGGGAGGCTGAGGCAAGAGAATCACTTGAACCCAGAAGGCGGAGATTGTGGTGTGCCAAGATTGCGCCATTGCACTCCAGCCTGGGCAACAAGAGCGAAACTCCGTCTCAAAAAAATAAAATAAATAAATAAATACATACATAAATTCAAAGCAGGAACCCTCTCATCATCTTTGCTATCCACTAAGAGCCTCACACTTCAGAGCACCTTCTTGCAAGCTGCTGAATCAGTGAATGAACCTCATGTAATAAAGGTTTTTCAAGGCAAGCCAATAAGACATAAAGCCATCTTCTCAAATCCAAAGTAAAGTCTCTTTCTCCAAACCAATTACTCAGATATTCCAAGACAGTAGCTACTGTTGTCTGATTCATTCTGCTAGCAATACTAACCAAGGGAGGAAAACCAATTTGAACATAATTAATTCTAGGACTTTCATTTGTAGCTGTCAGTGACCACACCAGCATATAAACTTTCACTCAGACAAAATTTCTTCTAGCCTTCTTCATCTTTAGATTTTGGCATAGTCACATTACTATCCAACTGTCGTGATTTGCAGTGACTTCTATGTTTGTGCACATTCTGTCTTACGTTGAAAACGGTGCCACTTTCTATTGCCACTGAAGTATTGGGGAATAACCTTCAGGGGCAGGTTGGCATCCTAAAAGAGAAACCTTCACACCTTGCTTCCTTTTCAACTTCATTTTTTTTTGAGATGGAGTTTTGCTCTTGTCGCCCAGGCTGGAGTGCAGTGGTGTGATCTCAGCTCACTGCAACCTCCGCCTCCTGGGTTCAAGTGATTCTCCTGCCTCAGCCTCCCGAGTAGCTGGGATCACAGGCTCCTGCCACCACGCCCAGCTAATTATTGTATTCTTAGTAGATATGGGGTTTCACTATGTTGCCTAGGCTGGTTTTGAACTCCTCACCTCAGGTGATCCACCTGCTTCAGCCTCCCAAAGTGTTGGGATTACAGGCGTGAGCCACCGTGCCCGTCCTTCCTTTTCAACTTATTTGGGTCAGTTTGAGGTACCACAGCATCTGGACATTGAGCTGCTTTGGTATGGACCTTCCTCAGGTATTCCTGAGGCATCCTCTGGGATAACGAGGGATTGAAACCTTCTGTCTGGTGGCAGAGGGCCAGGCATCAACTCCTCTTCCACTGCAGACTCTGCTGGTACCCATGCCATGATTTTCAACCCAGCCAGTTCCCCACAGAATCTTTTTCTATTCCCTTTCTCTTCCCAACTTCTGTATCCATTTAGTTTTATCTATATTTTTATTCCTTCCAATTGAAACAAACTTTAAGTAACTTGTAAAATAGACACAATTATTTTTTCTCAATACTTTTACATGCTTTTACAACTTTCCTTGCCAAAAATATATCTTGCTTTTATTTATACACTTTGTATACAGAATTGTTTCTTTTATATCTAGTAGGTTTTTTGTTTGTTTGTTTGTCTATTTTGAGATGGAGTCTCTGTCACCCAGGCTGGAGTGCAGTGGCGCCATCTCGGCTCACTGCAACCTCGGCCTGCCAAAGTGCTGGGATTACAGGCATGAGCCACCACACCTGGCCATATCTAGTAGTTTTAATTACATATACTAACTATAATTTTTTTTTTTTTAAGATGGAGTCTAGCTCTGTCACCAGGCTGAAGTTCAGTGGAGCAATCTTGGCTCACTGCAACCACCACCTCCCAGGTTCAAGCGGTTCTCCTGCCTCAGCCTCCCGAGTAGCTGGGATTGCAGGCATGCACCACCACGCCCAGCTAATTTTTGTATTTTTAGTAGAGATGAGGTTTCACCTTTGTTGGCCAGGATGGTCTCGATCTCCTGACCTTGTGATCTGCCCACCTCGGCCTCTCAAAGTGCTGGGATTACAGGCGTGAGCTATCGTGCCCAGCCTCTACTAACTATAATTTTAATTCTTAGTAATCCTAATTTCTAGTGAAAACCTAGGAAGTAAGTAATTTTTTTTTAAGAGATAGGGTTTTGCTCTGTCACCCAAGCTGGAGTGCAGTGGCACAATCATAGCTCACTGCAGCCTCGACCTCCCAGGCTCAAATGACTCTCCCACCTCAGCCTCCAGAGTAGCTGGGACTAGAGACATGCACCACCATGCCTGGCTAATTTTTTTTAGTTTTATTGTAGTGATAAAGGTTGCACCATGTTGCCCAGGCTGGTTGAACTCCTGGGCTCCAGTTATTCACTTGCGTTAGCCTCGCAAAATTACAGGCGTGAGTCACCACAATCAGCCCAATTTTTGTTTATTAAAAGATCTATCTAAATATATTTAGGTTTTCTATATTGTATATAAATAAGATGCCACAGTATAAAACTTATGTTTAATAATTAATGTTTCAGTATTTTAACTTATTTAGAAATGACTCAGACATTTCGTGATTATCTGTTACTTAATTTAACATAATATGACATAAGAATTTATTTTATTTTATTTTATTTTATTTTATTTTGGCCGGGCACAATGGCTCACGCCTATAATCCCACCACTTTGGGAGGCTGAGGCAAGCGGATCACTTGAGGTCGGGAGTTCAAGACCAGCCTGAACAACATAGAGAAACCCTGTCTCTACTAAAAATACAAAATTAGCCGAGTGTGGTGGTGCATGCCTGTAATCCCAGCTACTCGGGAGGCTGAGGCAGGAGAATTGCTTGAACCCATGAGGCAGAGGTTGCGGTGAGCCGAGATCACACCATTGCACTCCAGCCTGGGCAACAAGAGTGAAACTCCATCTCAAAAAAAAAGAAATCTCACTATGTTGCCCAGGCTGGTCTTAAACACCCGGACTCAAGTGATCCTCCTGCCTCAGCTTCCAAAAGTACTGGGATTACAGGATTACAGGCACGAGACACCACACACGGCCTTTATTTTACTAACAAATTTAAAGCTAGTTTTATTTATCAAAAATTGTCACATACACATAGCACATATAGGTATATAGACACACAAACAGAAGTACATCTTATAGCTTTCATAAAAAACTATAATTAGCTGGCTTTCAAATAGTTTTTTTTGCCATGTGTGATGGTGCATGCCTGTAATCCCAGCTACACAGGAGACTGAGGTGATAGCATTTAAGCCCAGGACTTTGAGACCATTCTGGACAACATAGTGAGGTACTGCCTCAACAACAAAAAACATAAAACAAAAAACAAAAATAGACTGGGGACAGTGGCTCATGCCTGTAATCCCAGCACTTTGGGAGGCTGAGGCAGGCGGATCATTTGAGGTCAGGAGTTCAAGACCAGCCTGGCCACCACAGTGAAACCCCATCTCTACTAAAAATACAAAAATTAGCCGGGCATGATGGTGCAAACCTATAGTCCTAGCTACTCAGGTGGCTGAAGCAGGAGGCGGAGTTCGCCTGAACCCAGGAGGCGGAGATTGCAGTGAGCCAAGATTACGCCATTGCACTCCAGCCTGGGCGACAGAGCAAGACTCCATCTCAAAAAATAACAAAAATAAAATAAATAAATAAATAGTTTTTCTTCTTGCCATTCAGACTATCAATCTTCTAATTACCTGTTTTATTACCCTAAGCAACAGTTAGCTAGGCAGTCCTAAATTTGCATGTCTAAAGGGATGAATCTTAGGTAAAACAAGGTAGAAAATTTAGATCTCAAAGGCACAGAGCTTAAACCAGGCCCACATATTGTACCATCATTTGCCCAAACCGAGGAAGAGTGGGTAAAAGCCCAGTTAAGACAAGATGCCAACCTTGGCAACAGAATGAAACTCTGTCTCAAAAGAAAAAAAAAGACATGATGCCAAGGAAAAGCACCTTAAACAAAGTTATAACTTGTTATGTAATTCTTTTCTTTTTTCTTTTTTTTCGCCTATAGTTCTAGCTACTTGGGAGGCTAAGGCAGGATCACTTCAGCCCAAGAGTTCAAGGCTGCAGTGATCTATGATTGCAGCACTAAACACCAGCCTGGGCAACAGAGTGAGACTCCAACTCTTCAGTTTTCCATAAAATCCAGATCCTGCACAACACCAACTGTTTTGTTTTTTGTTTTTTTTTTCTGAGACACGGTCTTGTTCTGTCACCCAGGCTGGAGTGCAGTGGTATGATCATGGCTCACTGCAGCCTCGACATCACATTCTCCCACCTCAGCCTCCCAAGTAGCTGGGACTAAAGGCATGTACCACCATGCCAGGCTAATTTTTGTATTTTTTGTAGAGATGGGGTTTCACAATGGTGCCGACTCCTGGGCTCAAGTGATCTGCGCAACTTGGCCTCCCGAAGTGCTGGGATTACAGGTGTGACCCACCACACCTGGCCAACCCCAACCCCCCCCGCCTTTTTTTTTCTGAGACAGAATTTCGCTCTTTGATCCAGGCTGGTGGGAAGTGGCATGATCTTGGCTTACTGCAACCTCTGTCCCCTAAGTTCAAATGATTCTCCTGTCTCAGACTCCAGAGTAGCTGGGAGTAGCTAGGATTATAGGTGCCCGCCACCAGGCCTGGCTAATTTTTGTGTTTTTAGTAGAGATGGGATTTTGTCATGTCGCCAGGCTGGTCTTGAACTCCTGACCTCAAGTGATCCACCCACCTCGGCCTCTCAAAGTGCTAGGATTATGATATGAGCCACTGCACCCAGCCAAACCCCAACTTTTTTTTTTTTTTTTTTTTGAGACCGAGTTTCACTCTTGTTGCCCAGGCTGCAGTACAGTGGCACGATCTCTGCTCACTGCAACCTCTGCCTCCTGGGTTCAAGCGATTCTCCTGCCTCAGCCTCCCGAGTAGCTGGGATTATAGGCAAGTACCACCACCCCTGGTTAATTTTTGAATTTTTAATAGAGATGGGGTTTCACCATGTTGACCAGGCTGGTCTCAAACTCCTGACCTTAGGTGATCCACCCACCTTGGCCTCCCAAAGTGCTGGGATTACAGGCGTGAGCCACCATGCTCGGCCACCCCAAATCTTTCTTTCTTTTTTTTTTTTTTGAGATGGAGTCTATCTGTTACCCAGGCTGGAGTGCAGTGGTGTGATCTCGGCTCACTGCAACCTCCACCTCCCGGGTTCAAGCGATTCTCCTGCCTCAGCTTCCTGGTAGCTGGGATTACAGGCACTCGCCACCACGCCCAGCTAATTTTTGTACTTTTAGTAGAGATGGGGTTTCACCATGTTGGCCAGGCTGGTCTCAAACTCCTGACCTTGTGATCTGCCCACCTCGGCCTCCCGAAGTGTTGGGATTATAGGCGTGAGCCACTGCACCTGGCCACCCCAACTCTTAAACAAAAAAAATTTGGCCAGGCTGATCTCGAACTCCTGGCCTCAGGTGATGTGCCCTCCTTGGCCTCTCAAATTGCTGGGATTACAGGCATGAGCCACCATGCCTGGCCCACACGTTTAAAATTTAAAAAAGCGGCTGAGCCAGGTGGATCACCTGAGGTCAGGAGTTCGAGACCAGCCTGACCAACATGGAGAAACCCCGTCTCTACTAAAAATACAAAATTAGCCGGGCATGGTGGCGCATGCCTGTAATCCCAGCTACTCTGGAGGCTGAGGCAGGAGAATGGCTTGAACCCGGGAGGCAGAGGTTGCTGTGAGCTGAGATCACGCCATTGCACTCCAGCCTGGGCAACAAGAGTGAAACTCCGTCTCAAACAAACAAACAAAAAATTTCAAAAAGCAACCTATGAAATATCAGTAAACACTTTCCAGAATAGCTACAATTCAAAAGACTGACTAAGTGTTGGCGAGTACGTGTAGTGACTGGAACGCTCAGGTTTTGCTGGACCTAGTGAAAATTTGGCTAAGTACTGTAGAGGTCAAGGGGATACTTTCCCTTCCCCCTCTGAAGGCACACTGAAAATCAACTGACAGTAGGACAGATTATTATTATTATTACTATTTTGAGACAAAGTCTCACTCTCTCACTCAGGCTGAAGTGCATTGGCATGATCTCAGCTCACTGCAACCTCCACCTCCCGGGTTCAAGCGATTCTCCCACCTCAGCCTCTCAAATAGCTAGGACTACAGGCGCCCACCACCACACTCAGCTAATTTTTGTATTTTTAGTAGAGACAGGATTTCTCCATGTTGGTCAGGCTGGTCTTGAACTCCTGACCTCAGGTGATCCACCTGCCTCAGCCTCCCAAAGTGTTGGGATTACAGGTGTGAGCCACCATGCCTGGCCTGAATTTATTTATCTGCTTGGTTAGCAGGTATTTTGACCAACGTGATTTAGCTGATGAGCTATCTTGATGTAGCTGATCTCTCAGGGATGGAAGATATTTCTCAAAAAGGCAGCCTAACTATGAGGAAACACAATGTCAATTCAGGTACAGATTGCATCACATCCTTAATACTATGTGAAGGGTTCTCATCTTAACCTGTGCAACTCAAATTGATACTCAGAATATAGATTGCATTGATTAGATGTTTGAAATATCAATGGAAAATCCCACCCACTTTTTGATGAACAGTATGAACAGTTTTTTGTAATCACATGCATTTAAAACAAGTTGAGTGTCATTTATTGGTGAAGCAGCCTGCGTAGAAACTGCATGATGAACAGCTGGGCACAGTGGGTCATGCCTGTAATCCCTGCACTTTGAGAGGCTGAGGTCAACAGATCACTTTAGGCCAGGTGTTTGAGACCAGCTTGGTCAACATGGCAAAACCCCATCTTTACAAAAAACACAAAAATTAGCTGGGTGTGGTGGTGCACACCTGTGGTCCCAGGTACTTGGGAGGCTGAAGTATGAGAATCGTTTGAACCCAGGAGGCCGAGGTTGCAGTGAGTGGAGATCATGTCACTGTATTCCAGACTGGGCAACACAGCAAGACCCTGTTTCTACTGCAAAATAGAAAAATCAGCCAGGTGTGGTGGTATGTACCTGTAGTTCCAGCTATTCTGTAGGCTGAGGTGGGAGGATCAACCGAGCCCAGGAGGTGGAGGCTGCAATGAGCTGAGATCATGCCACTACACTCCAGCCTGGGTGACAGAGTGAGACCCTGTCTCAAAAAACAAACAAACAAAACAACTTACTTTGGGATGTTATAGAGGGCCCCTGTGGCATCCAAAAGAGAGATAATAAACAAGTTTTTTGATATGTTAAATTACATATCAGGTATTGTCAAAAAAGAAATTACTGAGTAAGAAATGATGTTTAGGCCGGGCGCAGTGGCTCACGCCTGTAATCCCAGCACTTTGAGAGGCCGAGGCAGGCGGATCTTAAGGTCAGGAGATCGAGACCATCCTGGCTAACACGGTGAAACCCCGTCTCTACTAAAAATAGAAAAATATAGCTGGGTGCGGTGGCGGGCGCCTGTAGTCCCAGCTACTCGGGAGGCTGAGGCAGGAGAATGGCATGAACCCGGGAGGCAGAGCTTGCAGTGAGCCGAGATCACACCACTGCACTCCAGCCTGGGCAACAGAGCGAGACTTCATCTCAAAAAAAAAAAAAAAAGGAAAAAGAATTGTTGTTTAACCAAGTTATATTTTTATGGATATGTTATTAATATGTATTCCAAAACTGTATGAGATTCCTAAAATTCTGATATATCTTGGTATGTTATTAGTTATATTTATGGTTATTATGTTAAATTATTGTAGAACACAGAAATAACCAAATTTTCTTGCCAATTTTGACTTTTGATTTTAACTTTTGACTTTATGATTTTAAGTGATTTTTTTTTTTGAGATAGGGTCTTGCTCTGTTGCCCAGGCTGGAGAGCAGTGATGCAATCTCAGCTCACTGCAGCCTCCATCTCCTGGGTTCAAGTAATTCTGGTGCTCAGCCTCCTGAGTAGCTGGGATGACAGGCATGCCCCACCACCCCCGGCTAATTTTGTATTTTTAGTAGAGTCGGAGTTTCTCCATGTTGCTCAGGCTGTTCTCGAACTCCTGACCTCAAGTGATCTGCCTGCCTCAGCCTCCCAACGTGCTGGGATTACAGGCGTGAGCCACTGCACCTGGCCCAACTGTCATTTTATTAATACGTATATAAGAAGAACTATAGTTTATGCCCTGACAAATGTATATCCTACTAAAGAAGGGTAATTAAGCTTCTCTCTCTCTCTCTCTCTCTCTATATATATATATATATATATGTATGTATATAGATGTATGTGTGTATATATATATATACACGTGTGTGTGTGTATCAGAGACAGGGCCTCACTCTGTCACCTAGGCTGGTGTGCAGTGGTGTGATCATAGCTCACCACAGCTTTGAACTCCTAAGCTGAAGTGATCCTCCTGACTCAGCCTCCTGAGTAGCTGGGACTACAGGTGCACGACACCTCACCCTGCCAATGTTTTTATTTTTTGTAGAGACAAGGTCTCACTTTGTTGCCCAGGCTAGTCTGAAACTTCTGGCTTCAAGTGATCTTCCTGCCTCTGCCTCTCAAAGTGCGGGATTACAGTCTTGAGCCACTGCACCAGGCTCCCAGCTCCTACTTTAAAAAACCCACAAACAAATGGAAGCATAAAGTACAGTGTTCTACCCTTTACTCTTCTTTTTTCACCTATGTATTTCCAATTACATATATATGTATTTCCAATGACACACAGTAATGTTATTGTAATAACTTGAGTTTGCATTCTTTTAAAAAAATTTTTTTTTTGTAGAGACAGGGTCTTGCTATGTTGCCCAAGCTGGTCTCCAACTCCTGGGCTCAAGTGATCCCCCTGCCTTGTCCTCCCAAAGTGCTGGGATTACAGGCGTGAGCCACTGCACCCAAAGAGTTTGCATTCTTCAGCGGCTATGCAATGTTTTGCACCTAGAAGAAATCCAAGGTATTCTCAATAGAACTATAGACTTTCAGTGCTAGAAAGATATTTAGAGATCAGCAAGTCCACCTCTTATTTTACAGATAATTAATGTACAGAAAGTCAAAATGACTTCCCTAAGGTCTTACACCTACTAATAAAGAAAGGAATGAGTGAGCCAACTTAAAGGAACATTCACATATAGAGTTAAAATGTTAAGCCATTACAAGTGTAAAAGTAAATAGGATTGCCTGTAGTGGTAACTAGTATCTGTACAGTGTATTCCAGTTTAAAATGTGATCTCACATCCATTAGGTCACATAATGTTCCCAAAGCTCACAGGCAACCTTTGTCTCCATTTTACTGGAAGTAAAACAAGCAGGAATGTGGATTTTTTTTTAAAGGCTACCCAAGTGAAGCAGTGGGAGTGGAGAAGGAACAAAGAAATCTGTAACTGGTTGTGATCAATGAGTTGTAAACACTACTGCACTAGGACAAGCCTGTGGATTTTTTTTTTTTTTTAAAGCAGGCTTTAAACATAGCGAAATTTGGCCGGGCGCAGTGGCTTACGCCTGTAATCCCAGCACTTTGGGAATCCCCGGACGGGCGTATCACGAGGTCAAGAGATCGAGACCACCCTGGCTAACACGGTGAAACCTCGTCTCTACTAAAAATAGAAAAAAATTAGCCAGGCGTGGTGGCAGGTGCCTGTAGTCCCAGCTATTCGGGAGGCTGAGGCAGGAGAATAGCATGATCCCAGGCGGCTGAGCTTGCAGTGAGCTGAGATCGCGCCACTGCACTCCAGCATGGTCGACAGAGCGAGACTCCGTCTCAAAAGGAAAAACAAAACAAAACAAAACAAAATTAACCGGGCGTGGTGGTGGGTGTCTGTAATCCCAGCTACTCAGGAGGCTGAGGCAGGAGAATCGCTTGAACCCGGGAGGTGGAGGTTGCAGTGAGCCGAGATCACGCCATTGCACTCCAGCCTGGGCGAAAACAGTTGAGACTCCGTCTCAGGAAAAATAAAAAAAAAAAAAGCGAAATTTGATCTGTCTTTGGGCCTGTGAAAGATAATCCTAAAGTGCTCTTGAAAAAAAAATGCCACTGAGACACACAGATGGAAAACCAAGAAATACAAATGGACTTACAAAACAATCAAGGCCACATTGCATTCGCAACGCATCACAACACTGCATTGGGTGAAAGTGACATGGGTCAGTCCCAGATACTCAAAACAAAAATGAAGTTGGTTCTATCATTTGGAACATTTTTGCTGGAGGTAGTGCTGGCACGATTCGAACGACTTGTTTTGCACAAGTGGGTCAATGCACATTTTTTTTTTTTTTTTTTTGAGACGGAGTTTTTGCTCTTGTCGCCCAGGCTGGAGTGCAGTGGCGCGATCTCGGCTCACTGCAACCTCCGCCTCCCGGGTGCAAGCGATTCTCCTGCCTCAGCCTCCCATGTAGCTGGGACTACAGGCGCCCGCCACCACGCCTGGCTAATTTTTGTATTTTTAGTAGAGACGGGGTTTCACCACGTTGGCCAGGATCGTCTCAATCTCCTGACCTCGTGATCCGCCTGCCTCGGCCTCCCAAAGTGCTGGGATTACAGGCGTCAGCCATCGGACTCGGCCTAAGGGGCAATGCACTTTTTTTGCAAAGTCTGATAATTGCACTTATGTGAGTGCATACACGTGCCTGTGTGATGCACTCTTAGCTCTGGAAGCTGGCTTCATACCACCCGACGGCATTTGCTCTGTGACTGCCTACGGGTTGGGGTACGTTCCCTCCCCCGCCCTGCCACTTCGTGGCAGGCTTCGTGTCTCTCAAAGCCACGCAGGGACATTGCCCAGGTTCCTGCACCCACCCAAATTCTAGGAGGAACAGGGCGGAGGCTGACATCGCGCATGCGCCTCAGCGCACGCCGGCGCAGCCTCTCTCCTTCCTCATCGCCTCGCGCTCCCACCCCACCCCGAGAGCAAAGGAGGGAAGCGATTGGGCACGCTAGTTGTCCATCAGACCAGGCTCTCTTCTCCCTCAACACCATTGGCAGACGGAGAAAAGGCCAGTCCGCCGAGGTCTTCCTACCCCTTGGAGACTCAGCGCCACCGCGGAAGCAGCTATTGGCGGAGGCCAGGGGCCGCGACTGCTCACTTCCGGCGCGGGCCTAGACGATTTCTCCCCCTCCCCCGCCCTCCGCCTTCCCACCCCCCGCCCTTCCACTATGGCCGCTTCTGTGTGGTGTGGGGAGACGCTGGTCCTCCCCGTCCTCCCATAGCGCTTATTGCCTCACCCTCACCCCCTAGGGGCCGGATCCAAAGGCGCTGCACTCCCCAAGCCTTGGGGCATCAGCCAGGAAGGTTTCCTACCTCCTAATTCAGGGGCAGGACTCCTCTTTTCCCCCCACGGGGAAAAGAGGCAGAAACTTAGGGGTTTCCCTCCTTTCTTAGGGTCAGACGCTCTTAGGGTCCACTTCTTCAGGGGCGGAAGCCTCTCCTACCCTTCCCATAGGGACACAGGCCTTTACCCCACTGTACTTCGGAGCCAACGCCTTTCCCTCAGCACTGCCACCCCAGAGTCAGGACCCAGAGGACTGTGCCTTCGCCCCCAACGCAGGCGCGGCCTTTTGGAGAGGAGGGAGGAGTGGAGAGGACAGGGGCCCTTGCTCTCCCCTCCCCAACTTGTTCCTCTTGCCCCCCAGTCCCTGGCAATCCAGAGATCCCGATATCTAGGACTGTCCATCCATCCACTCCCTGACCTTTTCCCGGCTCCTGGCTGCAGCCATGGAGTTGCAGAAGGGAAAAGGGGCGGCAGCAGCAGCAGCTGCTTCGGGAGCAGCGGGAGGTGGAGGAGGAGGAGCGGGAGCAGGAGCCCCAGGAGGGGGGAGGCTGCTACTTTCAACCAGTTTGGATGCCAAGGATGAGTTAGAGGAGGTAGGTGTGGGGGGAGGGAAGGGAGTTAAGAAATTGGGTTTTGGAGGGATACTGGAGCGGATACCGGGTGGGAGGACGGGGGGTGGGGGCGGGGGTGGAGGCTTTCAAGTTTTTTGTGAAGTAACACAAACACTGCTCCAGCTTCCTGCTCCTGAGGGAAGAAATGTGGGCCAACTTCCTGGACAGGTTGTCATAGTAACAGCAGCCACTAGTATGAAAATGGGTGGGGGGTGTTGGTGAAGGAAGGGATACAACATCCAGGTTTACCGAATTTATTTTTGACATTCCTTTCGACATACACACCCCAGCTATTTTTACTATCAACCCTGTTTCAGACTTAGGTCAATATATTGAGTTGAGATGTAATGTATGTCTGTGTAGATGTTTGGGGGCTGGTAAGAGCTGGCAGTAGACCTTGGACCCTCCTGTTAGATGCTATCATTGACTTCGTGTAGACACAACCAATTGCCAGTGATGTTAACTGGGCATCTAGAATGAGTGAAGACTTAAGAAAAGTGAGTAGTGTTTAGTTTGGTGGCATCAGCCACTGTAGTGGGGTGAATGGTACCTAGGGGATTCTCCTTCAGAACCAGATAGCACACACACAGGAGAGAACACATCGCTTCTGAAAAAGAAGGTGGAGCGAAGAAATGGAATGGACCTGAATGAGGACTTCAGGGGACCTGATAGTTGCCCCTCCTGTCCTCTTACCCAGCTTTCTCATTCTGCCATCTCAGAGTTGATCACGTATACCTTTCCACTCCTACAAACGAGAATATGTACTTAAGAATATGAGATCTAGGCTGGGTGCGGTGGCTCACGCCTGTAATCCCAGCACTTTGAGAGACCGAGGCAGGCGGATCACAAGGTCAAGAGATCGAGACCATCCTGGCCAACATGGTGAAACCCCGTCTCTACTAAAAATGCAAAAATTAGCTGGGCATGGTGGCTTGTGCCTGTAATCCCAGCTGTTTGGGAGGCTGAGGCAGGAGAATCGCTTGAACCCGTGGGCAGAAGTTGCAGCGAGCCAAGATTGCGCCACTGCACTCCAGCCTGACGACAGAGCGAGAGACCCCGTCTCAAAAAAAAAAAAAAAAAGAATATGAGATCCAGAGCTGAGACGTGATTGCTTAACTGTTTGTAAGGCCTAATATTCAACTCGGTGGTTATCCAGGGACAGGATGAGTACATTAACAGGCCTTAGCTCTTCACTGGCTGTTTCCCAGCTTCTAACTTTATCAGCTATTAGAGGGTGGGCAGGCAGACAGGTGAAATTCAGAATTTAGATTTGAAAAAATGGGTCAGATACAAGATGGTAGAACATACATGCCAAAATGAACTTTGTGAATCAAGAAGTGGCTGGATAGTAACTTTGTGGATTTTCCACCAGCAAATGTCTACTTGCAGTCTGCCTTCCCGTCATGCTTTTCCCTCATAATTCTGTGGGCATTCAGGTAAATCAGTTTGTTTTCTGCTGTCTGTAGTTATCAGCTAAGGTAGATATAATTATGAATGTGAACAATGTATTCCCAAAACAGGTGAGAATGACTTTAGGACTGCCTGGCAATTGGAATTATTTACTTTTTAAGAAATGGCCACTGTCATTGTCAAAACATTTCTTGATCCCTGTGTACTAACACTGGAGCTCTAGAAGTATAGAAAGTCAATAATGGACTGCCTTTGATCCCTCCATCAGTTTGAGTGGAGGGCAAAAGACCCAGGGGTTGAAATCCCCACCCTGATTCTTAGAGGCGTCATTGTGTCTCTGCTTTAATTCAATTCACTGAATAGTACAGCATCCTGTTCTTCTGAGCAGTGACGTGTTTGCTACTAAATGAAATGATGCAGCAGGAGGGGACCATCGAAGAGGGGAAGCATGCATTTTCTGGCTTTTTTTATACTGAGAGTGAACTTCCAACTGTTTCCAGGGAAAAGGGGGAGGGAGGGTCTTTCTTTTTTTCTGATCTCCATAATGTGGATGTTTCCCAGTATGTCTCAAGCTCCCCCTTCTTTGCCCTTTGTCCTTTGCATTTGAATTTTCTAGCAAGACTTGCCACACTATTTTTTTCCCAATGTGTGTGGTTCGGTTATCCCCACTAGACCAGAGGGTCTCTAAGGGCAAGACTTACTGGCTTCTTCCTCTGGGTCTCCCCACAGATCTCTGCACACAGAAGTTATGAAAACTTGGTGTTGATCGACTGACCTCTGCTTGTTCTGGCTTGGTTATTTTCCCATCACAGACCTACCTATTGCCCAGGAACACAGAGGTAGTTTCCTGACCATATATGCTTACTGTGTGCTGGGTCTGATAGGAAAACAGGTTGGAGGACATCCAAGGTCTGCCTTTCGAAGCTTATCATCTAATGGCTTCATTTAACACGCCCACAAGAAGGTAAAAAAACAAAAACAATAAACAAAAGAAACTAGTTAGAGTAGTGAAGAGACAGGTCATTATAATTGGGTGTGATTAGGAAAGACCTTTAGAGATTTGGAGTAGGAAGCACTGGTCAAGAGCATCCCAGGCAGGAACTCTTAACTCTACTACCCTAGGGAACATTTGGTATATCCTTTCTTCTCTTTGGCCCTGTTTTTCCCTTTGAAGGCGGAAGTCTTCTTGCCCATTCCCATCCCAATTTGGGGAGGGAATGAGATAAAAATAGTGCCAGAGATTGAAGGAGTTTAGAACATGTAGTTCCTAATCTCATGAGCCTTGGTAGCTCCTGGTTTTTCTTCTGCCAAAGAGGGACCAATCACTTTTAAATCAGGCTGAAAGTGGGAGGCCCAAGAGCGTCCTCTTTTTTTTTTTTTTTTTTTTTGAGATGGAGTCTCACTCTGTCGCCCAGGCTGGAGTGGTGCAGTGGTGGGATCTTGGCTCACTGCAAGCTCTGCCTCCCGGGTTCACACCATTCTCCTGCCTCAGCCTCCCGAGTAGCTGAGACTACAGGCGCCTGCCACCACGCCCGGCTAATTTTTTGCATTTTTAGTAGAGACAGGGTTTCACCATGTTAGCCAGGATGGTCTCTATCTCCTGACCTCATGATCCGCCCACCTCGGCCTCCCAAAGTGCTGGGATTACAGACTTGAGCCACCGCACCTGGCCCCGCGTCTTTTTTTAACTTTTTTTTTTTTTTTTTTTTTTTTGAGACAGAGTCTCCCTCTGTCGCCCAGGCTGGAGTGCAGTGGCGCGATCTTGGCTCACTGCAACCTCTGCCTCCCGGGTTCAAGCGATTCTCCTGCCTCAGCCTCCAGAGTAGCTGGGATTACAGGCACTACCACTCCTGGCTAATTTTTGTATTTTTAGTAGAGATGGGTTTCACCATGTTGGCCAGGCTGGTCTCGAACTCCTGACCTCAGGTGATCCACCTGCCTTGGCCTTCCAAATTGCTGGGATTACAGGCATGAGCCACCGAGCCTGGCCAGAGCTTCCTCTTAAGCGCTGGATAGGTCTCAGGGTTGCATTTGGTTAGAGGTATGTCTCTACCTGGTTTTCCCCAAGGAATAATTCATATACATATGTGAGGAGTCTCCAGGGACTGGGCTTTGAGTCACTTCTAGTTTTTGTCCCCTTACAAATCATAATTTCATATACCAGTGACTCATGGTTGTGGAATACTTTGAACGCAGCTTGTTCAATAACTCCTCACCTACGTGAGTCCTTGGGGATTTTTTTTTTTTTTTTAAACGGAGTTTCCCTCTTGTTACCCAGGCTGTAGTGCAATGGCGTGATCTCAGCTAACTGAAACCTCTGCCTCCTGTGTTCAAGCGATTCTCCTGCGTCAGCCTCCCAAGTAGCTGGGATTACGGAAGCCCACCACCACACCCAGCTACTTTTTTTGCATTTTTAGTAGAGACGGGGTTTCACCACATTGGCTAGGCTGGTCTCAAATTCCTGAACTCAGGTGATCCACCTGCCTCGGCCTCCGAAAGTGCTGGGATTACAGGCGTGAGTCACTGTGCCTGGCCATCCTTGGGGATTTTATGAGTTAGATTGTATATTCCTTTTCTGAAAATGAGGAATTTAGTCTTTTTTTTTTTTTGAGATGGAGTCTCACTGTGTTGCCCAGACTGGAGTGCAGTGGCATCATCTCGGCTCACTGCAACCTGCACTTCCCAGATTCAAGCGATTTTCCTGCCTCAGCCTCCTGAGTAGCTAGGAGTAAAGGCACGCACCACCATGCCCGGCTAATTTTTTTGTATTTTTAGTAGAGACAGGGTTTCACCATGTTGGTCAGGCTGGTCTTGAACTCCTGACCTCGTACACCATGTTAGGCTGGTCTCGAACTCCTGACCTCATGATCCACCTACCTCGGCCTCCTAAAGTGCTGGGATTACAGGAATGAGCCACCGTGCCGGGCCAGAATTTAGTCTTTTAAGGCCACTGACTTCCCATAGGGAGCAGTATTTACCGAATGCTTTTTTTTTTTTTTTTTTTTTTTTTTTTTTTTGCAGATGCAGTCTTGCTCTGTCTCCCAGGCTGGAGTGTAGTGGTGCGATCTCGGCTCACTGCAACCTCCGCCCCCTGGGTTCAAGCGATTCTCCTGCCTCAGCCTCCCAAGTAGCTGGGACTGCAGGTGTGCACCACCACGCCCAGCTAATTTTTGTATTTTTAGTAGAGATGGGGTTTCACCATGTTGTCCAGGCTGCTCTCGAAGTCGTGACCTCGTGATCTTCCTGCCTCAGCTTCCCAAAGTGCTGGGATTACAGGCGTGAGCCACCGCACCCAGCTGTCCTTGGGGATTTTATGAGTTAGATTGTATCTTCCTTTTCTGAAGATGGGGAATTTGGTGTTTAAGGCCACTTCCCATAGGGAGCAGTATTTACTGTATGCTTTTTTTTGTGGGGAGATGGATTCTCGCTCCGTCACCCAGGCTGGAGTGCAGTGGCGCGACAGCTCCCTGCAACCTTCGCCTCCCGGGTTCAAGCGATTCTCCTGCCTCAGCCTCCCGAGTAGCTGGGACTACAAGTGTGCGCCACCACACCCGGCTGATTCTTGTATTTTTAGTAGAGATGGGGTTTCACCATGTTGGCCAGGCTGCTCTCGATCTCCTAACCTCGTGATTCGCCCCCCTCAGCCTCCCAGAGTGTTGGGACTACAGGCGTGAGCCACCACACCCAGCCACTGTATGCTTTTTACCAGACTCTATATCCACCTGGCTGAGGGAGGGGAAATGGAAAGGTTAGAGGGGTTCCTCCAGCTTGAGTCTCCAGCTTTGGGTATATACTGGGAAAGAGAAAGGCCTTCCCCCCCTTTCTCCCCCATTTCATCTGCTGCTGCTCTCATGGAAACCATGGTCAGGTAGTCTTAGTATTAGAAAAATTAGTTCAGGAGCTCCTAGAGATTGTAAATATTTACTCAGCTCTCTAAGGTACTGTCATGGAGGGCTTACTCTGAACAGAGCCATTCTGCCAGCAGTTGTTGGCATCTGAACCTATGATTCTATCTTTACTAAGAGACTCTGGAGACTAGGGGAAAAGCGTTGCTATTACTTGATTGTAGGGATCTGGCTTCCTGTGGCTTTCTTTGAAGGGACATGGTCCTTTGTCACCCTGAATGATTTGTAATCAATTTTCCCATCCCTGTTTGGAAAAGTAATTTCTGTAGTCCAGGAAGAGTAAAGTATCCTTTATACTTCTTGTTGCCTGTGAACAGAAAGGACTGGGCCTCTCATTTTTTCCTCATTGCAGTTATCCACCCATCCAAATTCTGGACTCTCACTTTCTACAACCTTAGCTGAGCCTCTCTGTTCCAAGAGGCCACTTTGCTCCTTCACTGAGCAGTGACCCATAGAATTGACTCAGGCCTCTGAGCAGAGCTCACGGGAGCTAGGGAAGGGGCCTAGAGAAACTGTTCAACCCAAGGTCTCTCAGCAATAGATCATTGCTGGAGGCTCAGCTAGCCCTTTGTGTAGCCAGCTTTGCAGGATCTGGTAGAGGGTACATCATTCAGGCCCCTCCCTCTCCCCTACCTTTTCCTCTTGTCTCCTAGAAGGCAAAAGTTTACAGAGAGTAGATAGGAGAGAAAGCTTTTTAGCCTGGTCAGGAATTTATTCATGTCCTGTGGTAGGAGTTTTCAGGAATCTTTAAGGCCATCCCATTAGAATAGAAGTAGTGTCTGGGAGTGGAGAGGTTTTAGTTCTCTAAATTTAGTTGTGCAATTGCTGAGCTTCCCGCAAATTGAATAGTTTTTGTTTTGTTTTGTTTGAGACAAGGTCTTGCTCTGTCACTCAGGCTGGAGTGCAGTGGCGTGATCATGGCTCACTGCATCCTCAACCTCCTGGGCTCAAATGATGCACCCACTTCAGCCTCCCAAGTAGCTGGGACTATAGGCACGCCACCACACCCAGCTAATTTTTAACATTTTTTTTGTAGAGACAGCGGCTTCACTATGTTGCCTAGGCTGGTTTTGAACTCCTGTCCTCAAGTGATTCCTCCCCACCTTGGCCTCCCAAAGCGCTGAGATTATAGGCATGAGCCACCATGCCTGGCCACAGATTGAATAGGTCTAATTTAAGTGAGGCTGTATGCTAGGTGCTTTCACATATGTCATTTTGTTTAATCCTTACAGCAACCTTGTGATAGAGGCATTATCTCTGTTTTGAGGGGTTTTGAGTGGCTAAATTACCCAAGATTAGCCTAAGGCTGGCAAGTGTGGAGGGTTCTTTCTATGTTATGCTTCCTGTCAGTTTGCTTATTAGCTAGCTGCTGTTTGATTTTGCTTGCCTTTCCTCTCCATTGATTCAGCAGAGATTTTTCCCTTTGGTAGGAAGGAATATCTAGAATTTTAGAATGCTGTGCCACTCCTTGTTCACCATCTCCTTCTCCTCTGAAACCGTTAACCTAGGCTGTGTACAGGGCTTCCCCCAGATCTCCTAGTAAGAGCAATCTGAACCTAGCAGCTGGATGTAATTGATTCCCCAGTCCGTGATAATTGTCTTGGGTAGAGAGGGATGATTTTTGAGACAGGGCCTTGCTTTGTCACCCAGGCTGGAGTACAGTGGTGCAATCACGGTTTATTGCAGCCTACAGCTCTTGGGCTCAAGTGATCCTCCTGCCTCAGCCTCCCAAGTACCTGGGACTACAGGTGCACACGACCATGCCTGGCTGATTTATTTAGTTTTTGTAGAGATGGGGTTGGGGGGGTCTCTTTCTGTTCCCCAGGCTAGTCTTGAACTCCTGGCCTCAGGTGATCTACCTGCCTCGACCTCCCAAAGTACTGGGATTACAGGCGTGAGCCACTGTGCCTGGCAAGTGGGATAAGATTTAAAAACAGAGGAAGCCCAGCTGGAGGGTTTTCCTTCCCTCCCCTTATCATATAGGAGGTGGACTAGGTAATACTGGATCTCAGAGCTTGTGGGAGAGGTGGGCTGTGAGAATCATAGCTCAGCCTTCATGTGACCTCACAGCTCCTTTTCACAAGTACACAGGTGCTTTTTATTCAGGCTGAGCTGCCAATCTGACCTAATTTGGAGCATAGTTAGACCTGATATTAAGTTGTAATAAGTGGCTTGGGGCTTATTTTAGCTTGAAGTTTTATAGCTATGGGAGCTACAAACACTTGCCTTGCCTTAACACTCAGTTCTACTCTGTGCCACCTTATGCTCTTACACAGGATAGACATAGGCAACCTGAGGATAATGGTAAAGGAGAAGCATGATTGTCTTTTATCCTTTTTTTTTTTTTGAGATGGAGTCTTGCTCTGTCACCCAGGCTGGAGTGCAGTGGCGCAATCTTGGCTCACTGCAACCTCTGCCTCCCAGATTCAAGCAATTCTCCTGCCTCAGCCTCCCGAGTAGCTGGGATTACAGGCGCATGCCACCACACCCAGCTAAGTTTTGTATTTTTAGTAGAGACGGGGTTTCACCATGTTGGTCAGGCTGGTCTCGAACTCCTAACCTCATAATCCACCCTCCCTCTGCCTCCCAAAGTGCTGAGATTACAGGCGTGAGCCACCGCGCCCAGTCCAATTGTCTTTCATTCTTTTTTTTTTTTTTTTTTTTGAGACGGGGTCTCCCTCTGTCGCCCAGGCTGGAGTGCAGTGGCACAATCTCGGCTCACTGCAAGCTTCGCCGACCGGGTTCACACCATTCTCCTGCCTCAGCTTCCTGAGTAGCTGGGACTACAGGCGCCTGCCACCATGCCCGGCTAATTTTTTGTATTTTTTTTAAGTAGAGGCGGGGTTTGACCTTGTTAGCCAGGATGGTCTCTATCTCCTGACCTCATAATCCTCCTACCTCAGCCTCCCAAAGTGCTGGGATTGCAGGCGTGAGCCACTGCACCTGGCCGTCTTTCATTCTTAAACCTCTATCCTATTATCCATATTTGTCAGTTCTTCAAAATGCTGTGATAGAACCACTTCTCAATAAGATGTGTGGTGATGACCTCTAAGATCAGGTAGAAGTAAACCAGCCTTCCTTTGTCCTTCTTTTGCCAGAATCATTATCACTGGAAATTGGTTTTTCTTAAACAGTTTTTGGGTTAATCCTCAAGATAAAGTTTTAAAAGGACTCAGGAAATAGTTTAGGTGGTGATAATGGAGAGGTTCATTGACTTACGAGTCGCATTTTGTCAGTATCTTACCAATATTGCTTCTTCTGAACAGGGACCAGTGACTAAGGTTCCCTTAGAATGTTGAACACATGACATGGTGGAGTTGAAACCAGAATGACTGTTGGGTAGGCTTTAATGCAGCTATTTTCATCCTTGTTTAACTGGAGACCCTGGTACTTTTTTTTTGGACAGAGTCTCATTCTGTAGCCCAGGCTGGAGTGCAGAGGTGCAATCTTGGCTCACTGCAACCTCTGACTCCCAGGTTCAGGCGATTCCTCTGCCTCAGCCTTCCAAGAGGCTAGGACTACAGGTGCGCGCCACCACACCTGGCTAGTTTTTGTATTTTTAGTAGAGACGGGGTTTTGCCATGTTGGCCAGGCTGGTCTCAAACTCCTGACCTCAAGTGATCCTCCCGCCTCAGCCTCCAAAAGTGCTGGGATTACAGACGTGAGCCACTGTGCCCGACCCCTGGTAGGTTTTCATTTGGCTTTTGGTGCTCTATTTTTCTTTCCTCACACTCTCATTGTTTTTAAAGTTTGTTCTTAACATTTTGGGGGGACATTTCAAATATAAAAAAGTAGAATAGTAAAATCTTCATGTAGCCATCACTCTGCTTCAGTACTTAACAGTAGATAGCAATCTTGTTTTATCTTCTTTCAGCTACCTCTGTATTACTTTGAAGCAAATCCAAGATATACAATTTTATCTGTAAACATTTTATATAAAGTCTATAAGAAAAGGACTTTTAAAAAACATAATCATAATATTTATATCATAACTAAAAACATTAACAATAATGTTCTGTTGCCCAGGCTGGAGTGTAGTGGTACCATCATAGCTCACTATAGCCTTGCCCTCCTGGGCTCAAGTGATCCTCCCACCTCAGCCTCCTGAGTAACTGGGACCACAGGCATGCACAACCATGCTCAGCTAATTTTTTTCTTATTTATAGAGATGGGGGTCTCCCTATATTGCCCAGGCTGGTCTCGAGCTCCTGGGCTCAAGCAGTCCTCCTGCCTCCCAAAGTGCTGGGATTACAGGTGTGAGCTACCGTGCCCAGCCCTTAAGCATTTTTGACAGGCCATTTGTTTTGTAGAATATCCTTCAGTTTGGGTTGTCTGAAATTTCTTCATAATTGGACTGAGTTTATGCATTTTTGGCAAGAAAACCATAAAAGTGATGTTATATCCTTTCAGTGCATCCTGTTAGAGGCACATAGTGTTAACATGTCTCATTATTTAGTGATATTAACTTTGATCACTTGGTTAAGGTAGTGTCCTCCAGGCTCTCCTACAGTGATTATTATATTCCTTTTGTAATTAATAAGTATTTTGAATCTATGTAATTATCTTCTTTCTCTGAAAAGTTTCACCTACTAGTTTTACCATCCATTGATGATGATATTTGCCTGAATCAGTTATTACTTTCACCATTTCATCTACATTTATTAGTTGGCATTGTACTGTAAGGAAGAGCTTTCCTTTCTTGTTTATTATGTATGTATCTATCAAAATGGACTGATGGATTCTCATTTTATTCGATAGATGATAATATTAAGTGTCTTTTTTTTTTTTTTTTTGAGACAGTGTCTCGCTCTTGTCATCCAGACTGGAGTGCAATGATGCCAACTCAGCTCACTGCAAACTCTGCCTCCCAGGTTCAAGCGATTCTCCTGCCTCAGCCTCCTGAGAAGCTGGGATTATAGGCGCCTGCCACCACGCCTGGCTAATTTTTTTTTCTTGTTTTTTTTGAGACGGAGTCTCACTCTGTCGCCCAGGCTGGAGTGAAGTGGCATGATCTCGGTTCACGGCAACTGCCACCTGCCGGGTTCAAGTGATTCTCCTGCCTCAGGCTCTCGAGTAGCTGGGACTACAGGCGTGTGCCACAATGCCCAGCTAATTTTTGTATTTTTAGTAGAGACAGGGTTTTTTCACCATGTTGGCTAGGATAGTCTTGATCTCTTGACCTCGTGATCCACCCGCCTCGGCCTCCCAAAGTGCTGGGATTACAGGCGTGAGCCACCGCGCCCGGCCGGAGTTTCACTCTTGTTGCCCAGGCTGGAGTGCAATGATGCAATCTCGGCTCACCTCGACCTCTGCCTCCTGGGTTTAAGCAATTCTCCTGCCTCAGCCTCCCGAGTAGCTGGAATTACAGACATGTGCCACCATGCCAGGCTAATTTTTGTAGAGACGGGGTTTCTCCATGTTCGTCAGGCTGGTCTCGAACTCCCCACCTCTGGTGATCCAACCCCCTCGGCCTCCCAAAGTGCTGGGATTACAGGTGTGAACCACCGCACCCAGCTAATTTTTGTATTTTTAGTAGAGACAGGGTTTCACCATATTGGCCAGGCTGGTCTCGAACTCCTGACCTCGGGTGATCTGCCCACCTCAGCCTCCCAAAGTGCTGGGATTACAGGCGTGAGCCACTGCATCTGGCCTAAGTCCCTTTTATTTTATTTTCTTTATTAAAATATATTTTTTTGAGACAGAGTCTCGCTCTGTCGCCCAGGCTGGAGTGCAGTGGCATGATGTCTGCTCACTGCAACCTCTGCCTCCCGGGTTCAAGCAATTCTCCTGCCTCAGTCTCCTCCTCCTGAGTAGCTGGGATTACAGGCGCACACCACCATGCCCGGCTAATTTTTTGTATTTTTAGTAGAGACGGAGTTTCACATGTTGGTCAGGCTGGTCTTAAACTCCTGACCTTGTGATCCACCTGCCTCGGCCTCCCAAAGTGCTGGGATTACAGGTGTGAGCCACCGTGCCCGCCCTATTTTATTTTATTTTTTTGAGACAGGGTCTCGCTCTGTCACCCAGGCTGGAGTGCAATGGCGCGATCTCTGCTCACTGCTGCCTCTGCCTCCCGGGTTCCAGAGATTCTCCTGCCTCAGCCTCCCAGGTAGCTGGGATTACAGGTATGTGCCACTGCGCCTGGCTAATTTTTGCATTTTCAGTAGAGACGGGGTTTCACCGTGTTGGCCAGGCTGGTCTTGAACTCCTGACCTCAGGTGATCTGCCCACCTCGGCCTCCTAAAGTGCTAGGATTAGAGGCATGAGCCACCACGCCTGGCCCTAAGTCTCTTAATATATGGGTTTCCCTCACTTTTTTTCTTGCGATTTATGTGTTAAAGAAATCAGGTCACCTGTTTATGGTTTCCACATTTTAGATTTTGCTGGTTTTATCCTCATGGTGACTTTATAAGTAAACTGGCAGCTAGATCAATGGGCATGATCAGGTTTGAATTGTTAAACTTTTAGGGGCCCAGAAGTACTTCCTAAGTGGTGTTATGACACACTGTTCATTTTTTCTCACCCCTTCCCAGAGATTGGAAAGGTGTATGAGCATTGTGACATCGATGACTGCTGGTGTCTCGGAGAGAGAAGCCAATGATGCCCTCAATGCGTATGTAAGTAGAATGCTGTCCCTGCAGCCACTGCTGCTGCTGTGAAGGTCTTGAAACATGGTCAAAAAGATGGAAAGACTAAGTGGTTGGGGGTAGGGGACTGAAATTCATCAAGTCTTGGCTCCCTGAATCAAATTTCTCAATTCTTCTCTTTTACTGTGGGAGCCTATCTCTTGGAGCCTTGGGCATCTTTCAGTACAGCTTTTTATTTTTATAGCAATGTGGTCTCGCTATGTTGCCCAGGCTGGAATGCAGTGATTGTTCACAGGCATGATTATAGTGCACTATAGCCTTGAACTTCTGGGCTCAAGCGATCCTTCTGCTTCAGCCTCTGGAGTAGTTGGGACTACAGGTGTGCACCACCACACCTGTCGTCCTTATCTCTCTTCTTTTTTTAAAAATCTCTTTTAAGAGAAGGAAATCATCAGATTTAAAAGTTGATTATTCTCCTTTGCATCTTCCTTAGGAGTCCCATGTTTTCTGGGAGAAACTGAGTTTGAGAACTTACTGCCTGTGAGTGACAACTAGTTTGTTTTCCTTTCTCACATTCCAGGTGTGCAAAGGCCTCCCCCAGCATGAAGAAATCTGCCTGGGCCTGTTTACTCTCATCCTCACTGAACCTGCCCAAGCCCAGAAGGTAAGGCACCCTGCTCTGGACCCATAAACCCTCCTCATATATGATCTGGGATATGGTGGAACTTACAGTTTAACTGGGGTAGTATGAAACTCTTCGACCAGAGCTGGATCACCTTGTTCTCCAAATATAGTTACAAGTCCCTTTTTACTCAGTGAATTGGTCATCCTCTGACTAAAGTCCTTTCTCTATCTCCAGATTCTGAAGCTAAATGGCAGTCATGAAAGTGAAAAAACAGAGTTTTAAATTTTAAATTTATGAGGCAAGGCTAAAAGGGTTGGGATTAAATCCAGGGAATAGAAGAGAACAATTGTAACCAAGTCCATGAGAGTTCTTATCCAGAAGAGCATGGCCTGTAGTTTGCAGATTCTGCCATTGGCAGGTGAATAGAAAGCAGGCTTAAAATTTTAGTAGGTAGGATTTAGATGAGACAGCTTAATGTTACATGATTGATGCAGTAAATAATGTAGTGATTAGGAGAACACTGGAGTATACTGGAGTCAGACTTCCTGAGGAATATTGTATGAAAACTTGTCTGGGGTTCTTCACAAACTGAAGAGTCCCCTTTATGTGGAACGGTTCAAGTAGGTTCCCTCCTTGAGGTGAGGGACTAGGCAGGGTGATCTCTTTGAATTCTGTGAGATAACTTGGATGTCAGAGATGGTGTCATTTGTTCAAGGGGAACCAAAGGAAAATCATTTCCGGGGATAAGAACAGGATGCTCATGGTTCCTTGGCATAGCTGCTTGAATTAACCTCAAGGGAAGGATTTATGGGCATGGGAAACTGATCTGTTTGTACTTCTGATGCCAGCTGGAATAGGGTCTGGGGTGAGGGTGGGCAGTGAGGCAGCAAGTATTCACAAATTCTTGGTTTCCCAGGAAAGCCAAGCCCATTCTGGGCTGGGACCTTGTCGAGTTAAATTGCTGTTTCATTTTTATACTGAATTTATCATCAAGATCCTTGAAGACAAATGAATGTTTCCAGTTGGGTGGTTTTAAAGAGTGATATGATCCAGTCCAGCACATCCATTTTAAAGAAATTGTTGGCAAAGATGAGAGTAGATGGGATGGAGTTAAAGTTTAACTTCCTCTTGTGTGGGTTTTTTAATCTCTGTGTGTGTGTGTGTGTGTGTGTGTGTGTGCGTGCGCATCATTGGCTGTGTGTGGGTTTTTATAAATACCATTCAAATTCCATTTAGTCATCTCAGTGCAAATTAGTCTTGCCTGCTGGAAAGTTTTGTTTGTTTGTTTCAGGTGATCTGAACCAACCTGGGTAAATCAGTAAACCTAAGTGAAGGGGGCAGAGTATGTGTGGTATTTCTAGCTCTTTGCCTGGCCTATCAGTAAGAGGCCACTGGGTTCTGCAGTGTAAATGCTTATTATGTCATGAATTTGGCCATCCAGACACAGCAAGAGACTAGAGTATCTCCTCTTCTTTTTGCCCTATAACAGCCCCATGTGGGAGGCCCAGGCCCTCTGGGGAAGTGAAGCATTTGCCTCGGGTCTCATAGCTGGTTGACACCTTTGCTAGCATTCATGTTCACATGCTAAAAGTTTCCAAGTAAATCCCCTACCTGTGAGCCTTCCTGGGCCAAGCCTCCAGGTCAGGCCTCTTCAGACAAAGGCAGTAAAGACAGAATTAGGAGGACACAGTTTTAGGCGGGTGAGGAACTATCAAGTAGTGACTCATTCAGAGACCTTGAGCCAGGTCAGAGCATGATGGAAGAATTAGTGACGTATCTCCCTAGAGCTTTGCTCCTTCTCCCTAAAAGGGTGATTATTTTGTAAAAATACTTCTGTCCTACAGAAGTTTTAGGTGGGAGTTACTGATGAGGACTGATTGTAATGCATCATTTTAGGCTTCAGCTTAAAGCAATGGGACTGTTTTCTAAGGATTTGTATTTGGGGTTAATTCTGCCTTTGGAACAGAAACCTCAGGATGTATTTGAGATTTAGTTGTTCTTGAATCTTCATGGGCTGAGATGGGAAGTGGATATGGTGGAGAAGTGTGGAAACTGAGTCTTGAACAAATAGAATACTGCTATAAGGAAGGTTGAGCTGAGGAGCCTCTGTTAGTACTGGCAGGCAGGTTCAAGGAGTTAGGGCCAACTCTCTGGGACTTAGTGGGTGGGATTAGGATGGATTGAACAGGTGAACAAGAGAATTCAGTTAAGGAGAAAGCAGGTCAGTATTGGGAAAGAGTAGAGGATGCATGGGGTGGATTTTGTCTCACTTGTACCTTCTTGATTTGCATCAGCCCTCTTGGCAGCCCTTAGGAATGTTTATATCCTTTGAGTTTATTTATTTTCTATTTGGTGTCTGAACTAAACAGCTGGGAGCAGGCCTGGCTGGGGAACTGTGGCAAGGAGGGAGGCTAAGGTAGAGTCCTAAGCTGTGCAGGTGCTGGCAGTCAATAGATAAAGGTAATGGGAAAGGGTCTAATGTCAAGGTCTGTCTTCATCAAAGGGTCAAGGACTCAGGCCCAGGCAGCTCTTGGTCTAGGTATTTCTCCCAGCAGGCAGCTCTAGAAAGAAGCTTGGGGGCTCTGGGGCCTAGGCTGACACATCACTGCTCTTGACACATTCAGGATAGATGCCATCCAGTCACCAGTCACTTTTACTTTTCTTTGAGACTCTCCACTTCTCTTTTCCTCACTGAGGGTGTGCATGTGCGTGTGTGTGTGTGTGTGTGTGTGTGTGTGTGTGTGTGTGTGTGTTTCATCTGCTGCTTTTCCAAGCTGGTCAGCAAACCGACACAGAGGTCGGTAACACAACTGGCAGCCTTAGGTGTATGAAACTCTCGGTTCTCATTTGTTACCAGCAGTTGTGGTTAGTAAAGATCCCAGATGGAACATGGAACTAGGCAGACAGTATCTGCTGTCTTCATCTGACCCTGTATCTCCTGAGAGAACTTGTCCTGCTTCCCTGTCCTGAGTCTGTTCTGCATTCATTTGAACAACAAGGTTCTTCTCTAGTTAGTAATGTCTGTCTTTGGCCTGACACAGATTTTCCCTCTGCCTCTACTTCCTTTGTCCTCTGCCCATTCTGTGACTTACCTCCAGGGGAGGGTCCAGGACTTAACTATCAATATTTGACAGTAATTCACTGGGACCCTTCATCTCTTTCTTGTTTCCTTATTTGTTTTTTTGGTCTCCCAACCATCAACCATCCCCCAGAGGGAGTCATTCTCTTTTGGGGATGAAGTTTATGGCACATGGAGGATCTCTCACTGTGGGTATTTTCATCATCAGTTGGTTTGACTTAACGACAATAGAGGCAGAAGGAAGTGGCAATAGCTAATCTGTTAGGAGTCTCTCAAGGCTAGAGAGCAGATGGTACTGAGGGGTACATTTCTTTTGAATGCATAGGATGAAAGAGTTTAGAAATGTTGCTGCACGGAGTGGCTCATGCCTGTAATCCCAGTGTTTTGGGAGGCCAAGACAGGAGAAAGGTAGAGTCTCAAAACTATTACAAACTCATACCGCTATTCCCAGCAGCCTCTTCTGGTTATTTCTAACGTTGATACAAGAGGTGGTTAAGCATGTTATAGAATTGGAGTGCCTGGATTTGAATCCTGGTTCTTCCTCTAATCTCTTATGTCATCTGGGGCAAATAACTTTTAAGCTCTCCATGCCTATTTCCTCATCTGTAAAAATAATTATAATAAGTAGTACTATTTTAAAAGGTTGTTATGTATATCAAATGCAGTAATATATACATATATATATATTATTGTTGTTGATGCCATCCTTGCTGTATTATTGCTTGCTATAGTATAACAACATCCTTGCTGTACTTTTTTTTTTTTTTTGAGACAGGGTGTCTCTGTCACCCAGGCTGGAGTGCAGTGGTACGATCTTGGCTAACTGCAACCTCCACCTCCTGGGTTCAAGTGATCCTCCCGCCTCAGCCTCCCTTGTAGTTGGGACTACAGGCACGTGCCACCACACGTAGCTAATTTTTGTATTTTTAGTAGAGATGGAGTTTCACCATGTTGGCCAGGGTGGTCTCGAACTCCTGACCTCAGATGATCCACACGCCTCGGCCTCCCAAATAGTGCTGGGATTACAAGCATGAGCCACCATACCCGGCCCTTGCTATACTATATGATTATTATTTTTGATGCCATCCTTGCTACTGGTCTTCAGAGGTTGTGGGAAGCTACCTGCCTAGTTTCTACTCTTTCTGATGAGATCCTGACGGGATAGAACTCAGCAGGCTAAGGAAGTTGCTAATGAGGCCCCCTAAGGTATTCCTCCAGGAGTCTGGTCTCACAATAGAGACAGAGTGAAAAAAAAAAAAAAACTAAGGGGGGAAGGGAAGCAATAATCTCACAGAAGAAATTAGCATGCCCTCCCTTACCTCCCCCAGGATTTGGTATGCTAAAGCACCTTTCCTTTTTCAATAAGTGGCAGAAGGAAAGGGCATCACAGAGAAAAGAATAAAGATATTTAGTTCAGCTGGGTATGGTTGCTCATGCCTGTAATTCCAGCTACTGAGGAGGCCGAGGTGGGAGAATCACTTGAGGCCAAGAGTTTCAGCCTAGGGAACATAGTGAGACCTTGTCTCTAGAAAAAACTGTTTTAAAAATTATCTGGGCGTGGTGGTGCATGCCTGTAGTACCAGCTACGCAGAAGTTCGAAGCTGCAATGAGCTATGATCATGCCACTGCACTCCAGCCCAGGCAACAAAGTAAGACCCCAAGTATAAAAAAACTAAAAATTCAAAAAAATATCAGTTTTGGTTCTGTCCTTAACTGTCTAGGGCCCTGCCCTGGATCTTCTTCCCTTACTACTCCCTTTGCTGTATCTGACTGGGTCAGTACTGGTCTAAAAACCTCTTTGGGATCCTTTTTGGCTTGTTCAACCAAACCCATTTTGCAGTGACCTTTTACTGACTGGCAGGTGAAAAGCAGATGGCCTCCACCTGGTTTTGCTCAGCCTGTGGCATCAAACAGTATGACACTTCCTAAGATGGGAAGTGGGGGGGACAGGGATAGTACTAGGAGCCTTGCCCAGCAGGCTTTTCTCTCCCCTGCCCCCGAGACAGAGTTTCGCTCCGTCGCCCAGGCTAGACCCAGGCTAGAGTGCAGTGGCGCGATCTCCGCTCACTGCAAACTCCGCCTCCCGGGCTCACACCATTCTCCTGCCTCAGCCTCCCGAGCAGCAGGGACTACAGGTGCCCGCCACCGTGCCCGGCTAATTTTTTTGTATTTTTAGTAGAGACGGGGTTTCACCGTGTTAGCCAGGATGGTCTCGATCTCCTGACCTCGTGATCCACCCGCCTTGGCCTCCCAAAGTGCTGGGATTACAGGCGTGAGCCACTGCACCTGGCTGCCCAGCAGGCTTTTCTGCCTCATTAAAGGATAACCAGTACCTTTTCCCCACTCTGTGTGACAGAACAAGGGATAGGTTGGGAATGCAGGACCCCTGTGGAAAGAAAGTGTCCAGAATGAAAAGTATTTCATTGCTACTCGGTGTCTTATTGGTGTTATTTAAGTTTAAGGGATTAGAGGGCAAGGGGTCCACTGTGGGTGGGGTGAGGACCTTATCCTCAGCTTGCTGGCTGATCACAAACTTTACTTCTCACAGTGTTACCGGGACTTAGCTCTGGTGAGTCGTGATGGCATGAATATTGTCCTGAATAAAATCAACCAGATACTTATGGAGAAGTACCTGAAGCTGCAGGATACCTGCCGTACTCAGGTAAGGCCAGAAAGAAAAGACAAGATCCAGCTCAAAGAGAGAGGATGGATCTTCTCTCTGTCAGGAACGGGAAAGAGGAATCAGGGCTAACACACCCCTATCATTGTGTGTCTAAATTGTAATGTGCTCCTTTCAGTTGTAATTGAATTAGCTCCCTTCTCAAACTCACAGTTCCTGCTCTTCATCTGTTTTTCCCTCTTTCCTTTAGTTGGTGTGGTTGGTACGGGAACTGGTGAAGAGTGGGGTTCTGGGAGCCGATGGTGTTTGTATGACGTTTATGAAGCAGATTGCAGGTGAGTTTGATGGCAGGAGCATAAAGAAGAAAGGAGGAGAGCCCAGAGACTACATAGAGACAATGGAGAATGATTAAGTGCCAAAGGGATGGAATTCTTGGATTGCTTAGACTGTTTCCTTCTGATACAGACATCTTCTGGCCACATATGTTGTAGAAATAAATTGATTGAAAAATCATGGGGGGCCTTTTAAAGCAGTAAGTCTTGCCTCATTTTCTTTCCTGCTAAACCCAGGGCTTGACAGAATATTTGGCCTATTTTAGCCAGTCTTCACTCTGAGATTTTATAGCATTTCAGAGCAGGAAGAAATGGGGAGAGAAGTGAGGGCAATTAATTTGTTCTCAAGTCCCTGTGCTTTCAGAAACCTAGACATCTTCCCTGGCTCCACCCCCATTATCTGAACGCTTGCTCCCTAATAATTAAGCCCTTTACTGGGGCCAGAATGAGGGACAAACTATGTCACAGAACAGACCCTGACATTTAGGTTTTATTCTCATCTTGGCATCGGTGACATCTGTCTGAGCTATCGCATATTCAAGCGGCTACTCCCAAGATTGCATGTGTTTGTTTAAAAGTGACCTGCTACTACCTCACCATTAGCCCACTGGGACTTGCTTCCTCTTTAAAATTTTATGTAACACTGATGCTCCTGTTTTGATGTGTATGAACCTTAATCTATGTGATATGTGACTTTGTGAACATTGAATTTTTTAATTGAGACCTGGGGCAAGGCATAGTTGTAGCTATTTTTATCCTCTTTCCTGGCACTTCTTCCCTGTTTGGCACTTCCAGCCCCTGCTTCTTATCCCAAGACTGGTATGGCATTGCTGTGTGTTAATTCTGCCCCACAGAGTTTCATAGCAAGCACTAAAGACTGTTACCTGGAAATAAGAAACTCTTGGCCTGTTGGGGGCCTCAGTGCAGGACTCAGGACATCCAGTTGCTAGACTGCAGCTGTTGTCAGCCACCTGTACTTCTCAGGCTCTATCTGAGATATCATCCTTTCTTTCCAACTGTGGGCTTCTTATATCTACTTCTCAGACGTTCATTTTCAAGGGCCAAAATGTTCCCACTCCAACTCACAATCTGTGGGAAAGTAGCAGCTCTGGTTTCTAGAAAAATTCAGAACCTTCCCTTTCCTTCTTTCTGGAGGCAAAGGGTGAAACTTTAAAGCCTGACAGAACAGAAGGCAGTTTATCTCAGCAGTGAAGGGATGGCAGTAATGGGATGGCAGTCAGGGTGGACCAGCAGAATGGGTGAAGAGATGTATTGGATTGGCTGACTTGCTAATCGGAGCTATTCTTTTTTTCCCCTTTTGAAATCAGGTGGAGATGTTACAGCCAAAAATATCTGGTTGGCAGAAAGTGTTCTGGATATCCTGACAGAGCAAAGGTAGCATCCACCACGAAGGGTGGGGTACAGGCCAGATAATGGCCATTAGGAGTGTGGGTGTGGGAAATGGGGATGAAAGGATTGTGTGGCCCAAGAACACCTTAAGTTAGAGAGGGGGAGGCAAGGAGAGGGAGAGACAAGTGTATTGTTGGCAAGTGAAGAAATTAATGCCCAAGGAATGAAGGAATGGGAAAGAGGTCTTTGCCAAAATATCGCATAGCCCAGAAAAACTGGCTTCATCTGATAAGGGTTTATTTTTGATCCAGACCTCCTTGGAATGTTTATCTTAGGGGGAAGTTGGGGAGGAATGAGCTCAGTAGAATTGGGCCAGCCAAACACCCACGCCTGGCAGGTATCCTTTTCTCCCCTGCAAGCTTCTCCATCCAACCCCTGCTCTTTTTGAAGTGGCACAGGGGGCAGTTGGGGTGGAGCAGGTAATAGAGATTAGTGAATCCTGCTGGAGTTTGCATATAGGGTTTGGAGGTTCCAGTGGTAGAGGGTGCATCAGGGGGTACATATTGGGCTTTCTGGCTGATTCTTTCCCTTATCCATCAAAATAAAGGGCCAGAAATTTTATGAGGGCTATTCCACATCTGAACTTGTTTGGAGGTGAGGCTTTCCCCTTGGTTTCAGTCTTCCTCTTGCTTGACTTCTAAGTCTCTTTTCTGATTGAGGACACCATAGTAGTCAAATGATTGAGAGGGCTAATAGTGTCCATACTATCTGTAGTTCAGAAGAATGGACCTCCTCCCAACGTTCACACTTGTGAAAGAGATGGCTGTGTGCTGTGCTCTGCCCAGGTCTGAGAGCCCTGCCCTGTCTGCTGTGCAGTGCCACCTAGTGCTCTGGGCACGGATGTGCAGCCACATCTGGGCCTGGAGCCACTTCTGTTATTGGTGTCATTGCACTAGCACGTGAGATCCTAACAGTCTCTTCTTACCAGATAGGTCTTTGTTCCTTTTTACTGTCCTGGGTCAGGGGGCCTTTCAACTCTTTCTTTCTCTTTATTATGCCATTCCAGGATTCAGGTAATTTCGTTACCTTTGCTAGCAATCTTTCTAAAAAGTGATTTTTCTTATTTTATTCGTGGTACCAAATACGTCCTGTCCCCATACCTTAAAGCTGAATTTCCTGTACAGGCATCAGATAACAGCCAGATAACTGCCCTGTTTTCTACCCTCCAAAAAACTTACATCTTTTGGTGAAAGTCAATACCTAGAAATTTAAAACTGTGTCCTCTCCTACACCCTCCTTCTCACTCCCTTCCAAATGTTTCTAGGGCTGTGGAGTTAAAAGGTAGCAGGTAGGGGAGGAAACGTTCCCCAGTAACCTTGGCTAGTGTATCCATTCTGTGAAAAGAAAAGGCCACAGAGTCTTTTAATTAGGTGGCTTGAGTAGTTTTCCGGAATCAGGATGTGGCCTGCTTGGACTAATTAAACACCATCTCATCTTCCTGCAGTTCCCTGCCTTCCAACAGGGGGGCCAAAGCCATTACAAATTGTTTGCTGGGAGGAGACAGCGTCTCAATTTTGTCACTTAGAGACAGGATTAGAGTTTTAGGAATATCCCCACTGTGTCTTTCTCTCTACTCCTTTTAAAGCAACTGGGAACAAATCTTTCATTACCCCCTTTTCCCTCAGGGATATTCTGAAACTCATGGGAAAAGGAGTTTGCCACCCAAAATCGGGTTCTTTTTTTCAGGTTGTGATTTAGGACAGGTGACTCATTGTGTGGGAGTGGGGACTCGTTGTGTATCAGTGACTAGATAGAGCCAGGGAAAGGTTTGTGGCATGGTGAGCTGCTAATGATAAGCAGACTGAGCTAGCACAGTATGT
Organism: Homo sapiens; assembly: GCF_000001405.40. Lineage (NCBI taxonomy): Eukaryota > Metazoa > Chordata > Mammalia > Primates > Hominidae > Homo > Homo sapiens. The sequence goes on from NW_003315905.1 coordinate 67,292, forward strand.
TCTCAAAACTCCAGGTCCTGAAAGGGTCTTGGCAGTCCCCACATGTTCTTGCACCACACTTAAGAACCACTGACTTAGGGACACTTACCCAGCTTTTCCCCATAGTCTGACCTGGGTAGATACTGTGGTTAATTCTGTCCCTAGTACCTCACATGTTGCTTGGCACATGATAGGCACTCAGTAAATGTTTGAATGAATGAGTCAACAAAGAGAGTTATTTTCTTGGAAGCTAAGTAGTTAGGTGGTAAAAAGAGATTGCTTTCATTTGGCACTTATCTTTATAGGCACTTGGAAGAGAAAATTAGGAAGTTGTCCGTAGCTTAGCCAGTTGATAGTCCAAGATAGATACTAGCATGAGTGAGCAAGCAAAAAATCAAAGCATCTACTCCCAGTGTCAAATCATCAATTATTTCTGAGGCACTGTAGCCAAGCCCAAGAAGCGTGAATTGGGAGGGTGAATAGTTCTAGACAGAGCATAGGAGCCAGTGTGTTTCCTCCCTGCAGGGAGTGGGTCCTGAAGAGCAGCATCCTCATTGCCATGGCTGTTTACACGTACCTCCGCCTCATCGTGGACCACCATGGGACTGCCCAGCTCCAGGCCCTGCGACAGAAGGAAGTAGACTTCTGCATCTCACTGCTTCGGGAACGGGTGAGGGAACAGGACAAAAATAATGTGGGGAAGTGAGACTCAGGCTAAGATACCTCTGGAGGTTTATGCAGTGGAGTCAGAAATACCTTGTTAGAGATGAAGGTGCATCAAGATCTGGTGTTTTCCATCATTCATCAACAGATGAGGGTAGAAAGGAGGGGGAGTTAGTGTAAAATAGCCCTAATTCCTAGAAATGCTACCTGTTAAGCTGGCATCTTTGGGATTTCCCTGGTCAGCTTCAAGGATACTGTTGTATACCACAGACATAAGCTGTCCTTGTGTGCCTACCATGACACAGTCCCCCACCTACTCTCCTGGGTAATTCCCATGGTCTAGTGGGATTATGAATTGTCCTCTATCAGACCTCCCATGTGGCAATTAAAAATTTTTTTTACTTTTTATTTTTGTAGATACTGGGCCTTGCTTTGTTGCCCAGGCTGATCTCAAACTCCTGGCCTCAAGTGATCCTCCCACCTCAGTCTCCCAAAGTGTTGGGATTATAGGCGTGAGCCACTCTGCCCAGCCTAAAATTAATGTTAGATAAAAAGTTAAAATTCACTTCTCTAGTTGCATTAGCTACACGTTGCTAATGGGTTTCATTTAGACTACACAGATATAGACATTTCTACCACAGAATCGGACCCACAGAATTAGATACTGCAGAATTTTGTTAGACAAAATAAGTTTGAGGTTAGGGTTTCTGGGGCTCAACTTGCCAGTCCCATCCTTTTGAAACTTTAATCTTCCTTGAACTGGATTGAAACAGTTCTGAGTGGAGAGGGAGGTAGATTAATGTGAAAGCCAGCAGGGCTTCAGCACTTCCCACTAACCTCTCATCCTTGATATCAGTCCCCAGCTTCCAGCTCTCTTCCCCTGAACAGCTAGGAGCCAATCCTTTGGTTCCAGAAGAAATCATAGTTTCTTCAACCCTCTTTCCTTCCCTCCCTAGAACATGTTGTTCCTTTGTCCTCCCTCCAGCAGGTAAACAATCCATGTTTTTATTCTCTTTCCTGTCCCCCACTTCCTCTTCCCTATCAAGTTCATGGAATGTCTGATGATTGGTCGGGATCTCGTAAGACTACTTCAGAATGTTGCTAGGATACCAGAATTTGAACTGCTTTGGAAAGATATTATCCATAATCCTCAGGCCTTGAGTCCTCAGTTCACAGGTAAGTAGGGTCTTAGGCATCCTGTCCTTGAGAGCTGGGAGTTCAATGTGTATGTCTTGCTTGAATCAAGAAGGTAGAGGTTGGTGGGTAGGAGAGTCTTTGGTGGTCAGATTTAGGAAGCCTGGGACAGGGCAAGCTTTGCCAAGTACAACTGCGAATGGCAGAGGTACAGAACAATTCATGTAGTTCCTAGACAGCCCCTACTTGGCAGACTCCAGCTGCCACATTACTACTAAGAAAAAAGTGAGACAGATAACTGTAGTCCTCCTCCCCTCTTCCTGGCAGCTCCTTGGCTCAGGAGGTGAGCCAGTGGCCAGTGTTCAGCTTCACGGAGTCTAGCAGGGGAGTCAGAGGTCAACTCGTGAGACTGAGTCAGTAGAGGGCTGGAATTAGTCCTGTAAGAGAAGGCCCCTCCCTGGGAACAGTCTTGCCTCGAATTCCAAGGATCCAGCTTGGGCAAAATCCACTTTGGAGGAGGGAGTCTCCGTGTGCCTCCTCCCGACAAGGTCCTTTTTATATCCCTTTCCCTTTCCCAGGGTCCTGCTATGTTCTGAACAATAACTGTACAGCTTTGCTCCCCACCCCACCTCAACACACACGTGCTTGTGATCGTGCATGCACCCGCTCCCCTCCTACACACACACACACACACACACACACACTCACTCTGAAGGCAGTTGTCCAGGACCTGGGAAGTCAGGAAAGAAGAAAGTGCTGGAAATTGTAGTACTCTTATATTGAACATCTATTTCATTGCTTTAAGTGCCTCCACTGTGTTAGACAAACATGTGTTACCTCATTTAATCTTCTGGACAGCCCTGTGAGTATTTTAGTTTCTACATTTATACATAAAGAAACTGAGGTTTGAGGCCGGGCGCGGTGGCTCACACCTGTAATCCCAGCACTTTGGGAGGCCGAGGCGGGCGGATCACGGGGTCAAGAGTTCAAGACCATCCTGGGCAACATGATGAAACCCTGTCTATACTAAAAATGCAAAAATTAGCTGGGCATGGTGGCACATGCCTGTATTCCCAGCTACTCGGGAGGCTGAGGCAAGAGAATCGCTTGAACCCAGGAGGTGGAGTTTGCAGTAAGCCGAGATCGCGCCACTGCACTCCAGCCTGGCGACAGAGTGAGACTCTGTCCCAAAAAAAAGAAAAGAAAAGAAAAGAAACTGAGGTTTAAGGAGATGAAGTAATTTGCCCAAGGCTGTACAGCTGGTAGGTTAGGTGACAGAGGCAGGTCTCTTTTTTTTTTTTTTTTTTGAGACGGAGTCTTGCTCTGTCCCTCAGGCTGGTGTGCAATGGCGTGATCTCAGCTCACTGCAACCTCCGCCTCCTGGGTTCAAGCGATTCTCCCGCCTCAGCCTCCCAGGTAGCTAGGATTACAGGCACCTGCCATCATGCCCAGGTAAATGTTGTATTTTTGTAGAGATGGAGTTTCACCATGTTGGCCAGGCTGGTCTTGAACTCCTGACCTCAAGCAATCCACCTGCCTTGGCCTCCCAAAGTGCTGAGATTACAGGCATGAGCCACCGCACCTGGCCTCTTTTTTTTTTTTTTTTTTTCTGTTTTTTAAGATGGGGTGTCACCATGTTGCCAAGGCTGGTCTTGAACTCGTAGGCTCAAGGGAGCCACCTGCCTCGGCCTCCCAAGGTGCTAGGATTACAGGTGTGAGCCACCATGCTGGTCTTTTAAATTATTTTTGTTCTCTCATGTCAGGCAGGTAATGTGGGGACATGGTAACAAGGTTTGAGGGAGGCACATCTCACGCATGAGTGTGAAAAACCAATAATCATGCTTATGAGCTACAATAGGATCTGGATCCACATGTTTCTGACTCCAGGGCTCATGCTCATGCCACAAATAACATTGATTCCAGGACCCAAGGATGGGATCATCAGGAGCAGGAAGAGCAGCCAGGGTTTCCCATATTTTTCCCTTAACTTTCCCATCTGTTACCAGTGGGAATCATGTGGGTAGGAGACTCTGGAAGACCAGCAGAAGACAGGAAGTAATATAGCTGGGTCCTGGGGATAGTGGTTGTTTGGAGCAGAACACGTAAGTGCTGGTTGGAATCCCCACCTGTGCTTGACCTCCCTTGGTCTTGTCTTGGAATTTCTCCGTGAGCAAGACTACTGGCCATCAGTACCTGGCCCAGGTTCCCAACATGCCTTTCATTCTTTCTGGTCCTTAGGCTTCCTCTTTTCTCTTCCCTTCCACATTTGATTCAGGTATCCTACAGCTTCTTCAGTCAAGAACATCCCGAAAATTCCTAGCATGTCGTCTAACCCCGGACATGGAGACTAAACTCCTCTTCATGACATCCCGGGTAAGCTAAGGTGTTGCAGCAAGAGAAGAGGTCACACGCTGGCTGGGCTTCTTGCTTCGGTCTGTGGAGCTGTTACCATTGTTTACTAACCAGTAGAATGGTGGCTAAATGATCGTACCTGATCTACCTGGCTACTGGCTTCTTTGTCCTTTATTCATTCTGTGCCTACATATTGAGCATGGTGCTAAGGATTGGGGGTACACTGTCGAATAAGAGAGATACAGTTCCAGCTGTTGTGAAGCTTTTAGTTTATCTAAAGTAGTCACTAAACCAATAATTATATAGAAATACTAGTATCATTTACAAGTGTGAAATATTCTATAAAGGGGAGAGTGAAAGTGTTCACGCTAAGAAACCCACGATTGCTCCAGGAGAACCATGAGGTCTCAGGAAGAAAGCTATGTATGTTTCCAGACTTGACTGAATAATGGCAGAATTACTTGAGCATGTTAAAGATGCAGCTTCCTGGATCCCACTCTCCTAGATAATTTGATTGAGGAATTTGTGGGGTTTTTTTTTTGGTTTTGTTTGTTTGTATTTTGAGATGGAGTTTCGTTCTTGTTGCCCAGGCTAGAGTGCAGTGGCGCGATCTCGGCTCTCCGCAGCCTCCGCCTGTTGGGTTCAAGTGATTCTCCTGCCTCAATCTCCCAAGTAGCTAGGATTACAGGCATGCACCACACCTGGCAAATTTTGTATTTTTAATAGAGACGGGATTTTTCCATGTTGGTCAGGCTGGTCTCGAACTTCCGACCTCAGGTGATCCACCTGCCTCAGCCTCCCAAAGTGCTGGGATTACAGGCGTGAGCCACTGCACCCAGCCAGAATCTGTTTTTAGCAGACTTCCCAGGCCATTCCTCTGCGGCCAGTCTGGCTGTCGAGAACTGCTTTCCTAATCAGCTTTCCCAAGTCACCCAGAATAATTGTCCAGGTCTGTGTTCTACTGTGTGGTAGCCACCAGCCATGTGTTGCCATTTAAATGTAAGTTAGTCTGCAGGACTAGGTATGATAAAAATTCTTGGCCGGACGCAGTGGCTTATGCCTGTAAACCCAGCACTTTGGGAGGCCAAGGTGGGCAGATCACTTGAGATCAGGAGTTTGGGACCACCCTGGCCAACGTGGTGAAACCCCGTCTCTACTAAAAATACAAACATTTCGCTGGGCGTGGTGGCACACGCCTGTAATCCCAGCTACTTGGGAGGCTGAGGCAGGAGAATCACTTGAACCCAGGAGGCAGAGGTTGCGATAAGCCAAGATTGCGCCACTGCACTCCAGCCTGGGCAACAGAGTGAAACGCTGTCTCAAAAAATATATATATATTAAGTTAGTTAAAATGAGTTAAAATTAAAAATTCACAGCTGGGCGCTGTGGCTCACATCTACAATCCCAGCACTTTGGGAGGCTGAGGCTGGTGGGAACACTTGAGGTCAGGAGTTCAAGACTAGCCGGGCAACATGATGAAACCGTGTCTCTACAAAAAATACAAAAATTAGCTGGGTGTGGTGGTAGCTACTCAGGAGGCTGAGGCAGGAGAATCACTTGAACCCAGACGCAGGAGGCAGAGGTTACAGTGAGCTGAGATCGTGCCACTGCACTCCAGCCTGGGCAACAGAATGAGATTCCATCTCAAACAACAACAAAAAAATTCAGAGCCTGGTGCAGTGGCATGTGCCTGTAATCCCAGCTTCTCAGGAGGCTGTGGTGGGAGGATTGCTTGAACCCAGGAGTTAGAGACCAGCCTGGGCTCAAGCAATCCTCCCATCAATGAGACCCTGTCTCTTAAAAAATAATAATTGGGGCCAAGTGCGGTGGCTCACGCCTGTAATCTCAGTACTTTGGGAGGCCAAGGCGGGTGGATCACTTGAGAGCAGGAGTTCGAGACCAGCCTGACCAACATGGTGAAACCCCGTCTCTACTAAAAATACAAAAATCAGCCAGGCATGGTGGCATGTGCCTGTAATCCCAACTACTTGGGAGGCTGAGGCAGGAGAATCGCTTGAACCTGGGAGACAGAGGTCGTAGTGAACTGAGATTGCACCATTGCACTCCAGCCTGGGCAACAAGAGTGAAACTCTGCCTCAAAAAAAATAAAATAAATAATAATTCGATATCTCAGTTACAATAGCTGCATTTCACATGCATAATAGCAACCATCATTGCCGAAAGTTCTGTTGGATGGTGTTGGTCTGGAAGTATCTTTTTGTTTGTTTTTTTACCTTTTTGCTTTATCTTGGTTGATTTCTTCTGACAGTTGGGGGAATATAAGAAGAGGGAAACCAGATCCTTTTCCTTATTTAGTGTTACTATTTGTGATCACTTAGGGTCTGTTTGAGGAAAAACTTTCCACAAGAAGGTTTGGAGAGTCTAGGCTTTGGATAATGGTCCTGCTAGGTCAGCACCAGGAAATTCTCAGTTGATGTTGAGTGGTGAACAGACCCAGCTCTTACTCTTGAAGAACATTTCTTGCTGTTCACCAGTGGCTCAAGAAAATGAGAAAAGGTTATACTTCTGACTGGAGAGTCAGTGACCAGTGCAAGGAGTAAAGAGCCAAAAACTGGACTGAAGTTGCAGTTGGGGGTAAATGTAGCCTGAGGTCAGTGGCAAGAATGACTGTAACATCAGAATGCAGGGCAAGCTAGAAATTTTCAGCATTTTTTTTTTAATCAAGAAGTTCTCCTAAAGGAGGGGAGACTTACGAGACAGTATGAGCTAATGAATGAATTGTGGAGAAATAGAGGTCTAGGGCAAACCTAGAGTTAAGTGGTGCTCGTTTTCCTCTGGCCAAGGACCCCACACTGTCTTCTAAGGTCTTTTTCTTGCTTCCCCTTTCCCCAGGTGCGATTTGGTCAACAAAAGCGATACCAAGATTGGTTCCAGCGCCAGTACCTGTCAACTCCAGATAGTCAGTCTCTGCGCTGTGACCTCATTCGCTACATCTGTGGGGTAGTCCACCCTTCTAATGAAGTACTGAGTTCAGATATCTTGCCCCGGTGGGCCATCATTGGTTGGCTCCTGACAACGTGCACGGTGAGGGCAAAAGATACTGGGTGGTGAAGGGTGCCTCTTCCATGGTGTTCCCATGTTTCCATTCTTCTTCCTGACTCCAGGGCCACTTGACCCCTAAGGGCCCTTCTTTCACTCTGGTCTTCCAGAGTGTCTCAGCCTTCACTTCCCTTTGTGTCTCTAGAAATTTACTTACACTCATTATTTTCCATCTGGGTTTGAGATTGAACAGGTTCATCTCCCCCATTACTGCCAACCCCCAAAAGCCTGGGTTTCTGGAGCGTCCCTGCCTTTTTCATTTTTGCTTCCAGAAACCATATACAGCTATTCCTCTTAACTGTTTCTTTCTCAGATTCAGAGCTTGCATTCTTTAGACCCTCACCACCATGCCTTTTTGGCATCAGCTTTGTCTACTTCCCTTCTGTAAATGCAGCGAATCTGCAGTGGAGGCATTTCCTTTCAAATGTTTTCCTCTCTGTGCCTAGGGTGGGAAACTATCCATTCTCTGGCATCTGGCTGCCCCCTGACCTCTTCCAACAGGGTTCCTCCTCCCCCATTTGACTGGGTCCTTGGAATGTGCTGATTCAGATATGACAACAGGCTATTCCTGGAGGGGTGGGGGTCTCTTCTTCAGGAATGTGCCTGGAGAGCCCAGAAAGGGCAGCCAAGGGGTGCTAGTCTGACTGTTGCCTCAGCTCAGGGGTGATGAGTGGACTTCTGAGTCCAAGCATTGTCCCCTATGGGAATCAGAGATATGAACTGCTGGATGTATCAAGAACCCAGGCCTGCCGAGCACGGTGGCTCACGCCTGTAATCCCAGCACTTTGGGAGGTTGAGGTGGGCAGATTGCTTGAGCTCAGGAGTTTGAGACCAGCCTGGGCAACATGGCAAGACCCCATCTCTACAAAAAAATACAAAAATTAGCCAAGTGTGTTGGTGTGCGGCTGTAGTCCCAGGCTGAGGTGAGAGGACCGCTTGAGCCTGGGAGGTAGAGGTTGCAGTGAGCTGAGATCCTGCCACTGCACTCCAGCCTGGGTGACAGAGTCAGACCCTGTCTCAACAACAAAAAGAAAAGAACCCAGGCCTGGCCAGGCATGGTGGCTCTCACCTATAATCCCAATACTTTGGGAGGCTGAGGTGGGAGGATCACTTGAGCCCAGGAGTTCAAGACCAGCCTGGGCAACATGGCAAAACCCATCTCTACCAAAACAAAACAAAACAAAACATAAAGCCACGCATGGTGGTGTGCTCCTGTAGTCCCAGCTACCAAGGAGGCTGAGGCTGGGAGGATCACCCGAGCCTAAGAGGTCAAGGCTGGAGTAAGCCGTGATCATGCCACTGCGCTCCAGCCTGGGTGACATGGCAAGACCCTCATCTCTACAAAAAAATAGAAAAATGAGCCAGGTGAGGTGGTGCGTGCCTGTAGTCCCAGGCTGAGGTGAGAGGCTCTCTCGAGCCTGGGCGGTGGAGGTTGCAGTGAGCTGAGATCATGCCACTGCACTACAGCCTGGGCAACAGAGCAAGACCCTGTCTGGAAAAAAAAAAAAAAAGGTTCGGGGGGTACCTGGCCCAATCCCTGTCCTCTGTCCTCTTGGTTAAGACCATAAGACCACAGAGTATTCACTCATACACAACACAAGGGGGGTTAGCATTTCACCGTGTTTCACTAGGAACTGAATTTCATAGATGAAACAGCCAAGTGGGGCCTGGAATCTGTCTTGGGACTCTGAAATGGAGGGGGGTGATTGATGAAACTAGCCCTCTGTTTCTCCCCTCTCTTTTCCAGTCAAATGTCGCTGCCTCCAATGCCAAGCTGGCTTTGTTTTATGACTGGCTGTTCTTTAGTCCAGACAAGGATAGCATTATGAACATAGGTATGTGACCAAGACCAGGCGGCTCCACTTCCCCATCCCCCTAAGCCCCCACTGCCTTCCTTAGTGATAGCAGTCATAAATCTCAGGGCACCGTGGAGTGGAGGCAGTTTATCTGGGAGCAGCTCTGTTGTTCCTCATCAGTTTTCCCTTGACCTAGAAAGAGAATTGCTTTGATAAGGCTAAGCCATCACTGTACCTCCTCCCCACAGTCTTCAGGATGCATGGTCTTCAGGAGGGGAGGGCATGGGCAAAGGAAAAGGCTGTACCATGTCCTGCTTCTCCTCACCTATTACTTCCCTTCTCAAAGCTGAATGCTGGGAACAAGAAGGGAAATGAGGGCTACAAGCTGTTTCGGGGCCTGTCTGCTCTTGGGTCTGCTCAGTGGAAATGGGGGGAATAGACATAGCACTTCCCAGAGCCATTCATGTATATTGACATCCCATTTTATGGAGATAGAAACAGACTGACTTTAGCCTGGCGTGGTGGCGCACACCTGTAATTCCAGCTGCTGGGGAGGTTGAGGCATGAGATTCGCTTGAACCTGGGAGGCAGAGGCTTCAGTGAGCTGAGATCGTACCATTTGCACTCCAGCCTGGGTGACAGAGCAAGACTCTGTTTCAAAAAAAAAAAAAAAAAAAAAAAAAAGAGAGAGAGAGACTGACTGATGTGAGGGGCTCTTTAATTTCACATCCTCCAGAACCAGCCATCCTGGTCATGCACCACTCCATGAAGCCCCACCCAGCCATCACTGCCACACTCCTGGACTTCATGTGCCGCGTAAGTGTTAGAGCTCTCTTTTCTCCCCATGCCTGGATGAGCAGAATTCAGTGTATCTCCCCTAATCTCCCAGTGAACGGGTCTTCTCGGTATGCCTTGACTGAGAGCAGAAATGGTCATGGGTCCTATCCCCCAAGTTAATAAATGCTTCCCTTCCATATTCCACTGTCTGCACTTGGATCTTCCCATTTTCTGTGGGGTTTCTCAATCACAAGGATGGTGACTCAAGGTAGAATCTGGTTTCCTTGGGGAGCAGCCAGGTCCAGTAAGAATTTCTCATTTGAGTGGCCTGGAGTGGTCAGGAAGTCCAGTTCTCTCTGCAGCCATACTCCCCAGTGTCCCCTGATCAAAACCAAAGCAGCTTTTCAGATCTAATTCAGCGGAAGCCTCTGGATGGAGTCCTGTGCTCATTTTTCCCCTCCTTCTTCGCTTCCAGATCATTCCCAACTTCTATCCACCATTGGAGGGCCACGTGCGGCAGGGTGTCTTTTCCTCCCTCAACCACATTGTGGAGAAACGGGTCTTGGCGTAAGGAATTTGGTGGGGGAAGGAGGTTGTTTTCCCATTTTTCATTAGGTCCAGGTGTATCCAAATGTTGCCATAGCACTGCTGGCCCTTTTCTCTGACAGGTGTAAAAAGTATTGGCTCTACCTCAGACTGCTGGGCATATGTCTTCTTGGCTCTTAGAGGAATTTCTCTCCTGCCATCGTATTACAAAGGTCTTCAAATGCCTTCATGTTCCCTGTTGACCCCCTTCAGGGATCTGAGTATGGTCCAGTTAGACTGATTGTGCTTAGACCTATCTCAACTCCATGTTGAGTTAGAAATGAGAAGCTCTGGCCAGACACAGTGGCTCATGCCTGTAATCCCAGCACTTTGGGAGGCCAAGGTGGGCAGATCACCTGAGGTTAGGAATTTGAGACCTGCCTGGCCAACATGGCAAAACCCGTGTCTACTAAAAATACAAAAATTAGCCAGGTGTGATGGTGCACACCTGTAATCCTAGCTACTTGAGAGGCTGAGGCACAAGAATCGCTTGAATCCGGGAGGTGGAGGTTGCAGTGAGCCGAGATTGTGCCACTGCACTCCAGCCTAGGTGATGAGAGTGACACTCTGTCTCAAAAAAAAATAAAAATAAGAGAAGCTCTGATATTGACCTTCATCATGTTCCCCATTTAGACACCTAGCTCCCCTGTTTGACAACCCTAAGTTGGATAAGGAGCTGCGGGCAATGCTGAGAGAGAAGTTTCCTGAGTTCTGCAGCTCACCCTCCCCACCTGTGGAAGGTATGAGGCCCGCCCATTCCATCACCTGTGTCAAAAGAGGGGCAAGACAACCAGGCCTTCAGGCCAGAGCCCCTTTCAGGATGTCCCACACAGTTCTCCACTTCCGTGACACTGTCCATCACAGTTTTTCCTTCCTCAGTTTATCTTTTTTATTCATTTTTGTGTTGTCTGTCTTGATTCTCTTGCTTTATCTAATCTTATTTGACTTGCTCATCTTTCTTGTTCTCTTAACTCTTTTCTCCTAGTAACTCCTGCTCAGTAGTTAGAAGGCTTTCATGTAATATTTACAATATTTATCTCACTTTAACTTGCCCATCTCTCTTCCCAGCTCTAGGCCCTGGCCTCTGATGACAGTTTGTCATGTTGGGCCTCAAACCTTACTCTCAATACAACTGCCATCTCCTTACCACACATACACACTTTGTTTTGGGATAAGGGTCTAAGTCAAGTAGTATTTTCCAACTTGGTTTTAAATTAAAGAGCACTTGGAGGCTGGGCATGGTGGCTCATGCCTGTAATCCCAGTACTTTGGGAGGCTGAGGCGGGTGGATCACTTGAGGTCAGGAGTTCAAGACCAGCCTGGCCAACATCATGAAACTCCGTCTCTACTAAAATACAAAAAAATTTGTATTTGGCGGGCACCTGTAGTCCCAGCTACTCAGAAGGCTGAGACATGAGAATTACGTGAACCTGGGACGGGGAGGTTGCAGTGAGCCGAGATGGCGCCACTGCACTCCAGCCCAGGCGACAAGAGTGAGACTAGCACTTCGGACTGTCCCTGATCTTACTCTAGTTACCAATCCTAATGAGCTGAGCATAGAGGAGTCATGTCCAGTGTTGCTCTTATTCCTGGCAACATCCCTCTGCAGGTCATGGAGGGTTGTGAGGACAAGAGGTTTGTCAAGAGGTTTGTCCTCCCAGGGTCAGTATTCCATTTAGATGATAAACTCCTTATTCTCTCACTTGCCCTCCATTCTCCCTTCCTAGAAGCATGGGGCATGTTAGAGGACCCAGGAGGCCATTAAATGCCTTATCTTTTTTTACTCCCAAGTCAAAATTGAGGAGCCAGTTTCCATGGAGATGGACAACCATATGTCGGATAAGGATGAGAGTTGCTATGACAATGCAGAGGCAGCCTTCAGTGACGATGAAGAGGATCTCAACAGCAAAGGTGAGGCCATCAGCAAGGGCTAGTTCAGGGTTGTGTCAGCCCTGAGAGGACCAGTTCCCAGAAGCAGCCTCTCTGCACTCTTCCTGTCACCCTTATTCCTGTGAGTTAAAGTTTTGTTCACAGGGTATCTGGATGAGACTCCAGAATGCAGAGCCCTGTACTTAACACTCAAGGCAGGAAGGAAAAAAGAAGTGGTTCCTGCCCTTGTTTGCTTGTAAGAGCTAGTACATGTGCACAGTCAGGGAGATGCTTCAGGCACTCACACAGCATTGAGGAAACAGGTGCACACTTAGGGCATGTGAGGAAGGGGATAAGTCATTGAGGGGACTGTCTCTGTTGCTGGCATCTGGGCAAACTGACTTCTTTCCCAAATCACTCCCTTTAGGAAAGAAGAGGGAGTTTCGCTTCCACCCTATCAAGGAGACAGTTGTGGAGGAGCCAGTTGATATCACCCCTTACCTTGACCAGTTGGATGAGTCCCTGAGGGACAAAGTACTCCAGCTACAGAAGGGGAGGTGGGTACAGACCTTGTTCTCAACTTCAGGAGGTTCAGCCCCAGGCTCTCTACCTGGTGCTTAATGGGTATAGCAGGAGATGGGGGTTGGAGGCAAACATGATAGGAGTGTGTGGAGAGGTAGCTGAAGCTTCATGAGGGAGTTCTTCTGCACTTTACGTTAGGGAGTATGAGCTGGGAGTGGGGCAGCCTCATTCCGTAACACCTTGAGTTCCCACTCTGCAGATTCTTGGGAGAAGAACCTCTGAGAACCAAGGCAGGATTGGTGGGGATTTTCCTTTTCTTTGGGCCTCTGCCCAGAGAGCAGCCAATTCTGCCCTAAAGCCTCCCCATCCAAGCTGGGATTTTACACAGAGCTCCTTTGTTTTGTCTCTGTGCATGTGAGTGTGCTTGTGCACTGTTCTGGGTGTGTGTCCTGCCCTCTGCTATCATTTATGTCCCTGGGATTTCCTCTCATTTCTGTCCTGCAGTGATACGGAGGCCCAGTGTGAGGTCATGCAGGAAATTGTGGACCAGGTCCTGGAGGTGAGGAGGAACCCAATCCCTTAGGGAGGAAGCAGCCTAGCCTGCTTAGCTTACACGTCTCCCAGGGAAGACAACTCACTTTTTCCCTCCCCTAGATGAGTCCCTCTTATAGTGGGGAGGGGAGCTTGCTGATCCTGGAGGTGGAAGCAGATGAGTTCCAAGACTGGGATCGTGGGGGCAGGAGGGCTTGGGTGTAGGTAGTGACTCTCCCTCCCTTGTCTCATCACCCAGGAAGACTTTGACTCGGAGCAGCTGTCTGTCCTTGCTTCCTGCCTACAGGAGCTCTTCAAGGCCCACTTTCGAGGGGAGGTCCTGCCTGAGGAGATTACTGAGGAGTAAGGCTGATTTTCCCTCACTCCAGAGCCTCAGGAGCCAGAGGGTGCTCTTACAGCCTGAGTCCAAGAGACCCCTTACTGTAGACTTGAGAAAAATCTGTTCACTTGGTGTTTTTATTCTCACATGTACCAACTCATTTAAACAAGAGCTTATTTCTACCTGCTGAACACCGTGCGTACTGGGGAGGTTGACACCTCCTCATGCTTCCAGCCCTTGCTGCTGGGCCCAGTAACTCTAATCTGCTGAATTAGGTGTGATTGGACCTTGGCCTGGAGCCTGTCTCCAAAGGGCAAGAGCGTGGTCCCATGTTAGGAACCTGTTTTCTCTGTTACCAAGCCTGCGGAGCAGCAGGAAGTTTGCCTTTTGGGTAGGGAAGGAGCAGGCTGGTGTCTAGCCTCCAGCTGGTCCTCCGTATGTGCCAGCAGCCCCCCTCACATGGATTCTCAAATATAACCCTCTTCTTGTAGGTCCCTGGAGGAGTCTGTAGGAAAGCCTCTGTACCTAATATTTAGGTAAGCACGCAGCTATAGGAGATACTGTTCTACCCTCCATCCTCCCTGACAGCACACACATGTGCTCCTGTCCTGGGGTAATGGGACTCGCTTTCCAGGGAGGAGGACATATGCTGTGGGCACAGACAGCCCATGCCACCTGAGAAACTCCATGGGAGAGTCTGCCCTGGGTAAAGTTCTGTTCCTCTCCTCCCATGCCCCACCTCCAGGAACCTATGTCAGATGCAGGAAGACAACAGCAGCTTCTCTCTACTTCTAGACCTTCTCTCCGAGCTATATCAGAAGCAGCCCAAGATTGGCTACCACCTGCTCTACTACCTGAGGGCCAGGTGGGTATGGTCCCCATGTTTCAAATGGTGTCAGGACACATCCTGGAGAGCCTCTCTTCCACACGCTGACTCCCCAACCCTGGACTGTCATCACCAGGGCCTTCTTTGTGGGTCTGTTTGGTTGAGTTGGTTTGTTTTTAAGAGACAGCATCTCACTCTGTCACCTGATGACACTGCGGCTCAGTGCATGTCACTCACTGCAGCTTCAGACTCCTGGGCTCAAGCCATCCTCCCCCCTCAGCATCCTGAGTAGCTGGGACTACACAGGCATGCACTACCATGCCCAGATAATTTTTTAAAATTTTTTTGTAGAGACAGGGTCTTACTTTGTTGCCCAGGATGGTCTCAAACTCCTGGGCTCAAGTGATGGTCCTGCTTCAGCCTCCTGAGTAGCTAGGATTACATACAGGCATGCGCCATCACGCCCAGTTATTGGTTTTGGGTTTTTTTTTCCCCTACTCTGAGTAAGCCTTGTGTACTCCTAAGGCTTTTTTTTAATTTAAATTTTTATTTATTTATTTTTTGAGACAGGGTCTCACTCAGTCACCCAGGCTGGAGTGCAGTGGTACAATCTCAGCTCACTGCAACTTCCACCTCCCGGGTTCAAGCAATTCTCCCACCTCAGCCTCCCAAGTAGCTAGGACTACAGGCACCCACCACCACGCCCAGCTAAGTTTTGTATTTTTAGTAGAGACAGGGTTTCTCTGTGTTGGTCAGGCTGGTCTCGAACTCCCGACCTCAGGTGATCCACCCACCTTGGCCTCCCAAAGTGCTGGGATTACAGGTGTGAGCCACTGTGCCCGGCCTCAATAATTTTTTAGTATATTCACAAAGTTATACAACTATCACTACTATCTGATTTAGAAAGAACATTTTTATCACCCCAAAAAGAAATCTCATACTCATTAGCAATCACTTTGCCATTTTCTCCCCTTCACCCAGCTCTTGGCAACCACTGATCTGCTTTCTGCCTCTATAGATTATTTTGGACATTTTCAGATAAATGGAATCAAACTGTATGTGATCTTTTGTGACTTGCTTTTTTCTTTCTCTTTTTTTTTTTTTTTTTTTTTTTTGAGACAGAGTCTCGCTGTGTCGCCCAGGCTGGAGTACAGTGGTGCGATCTTGGCTCACTGCAACCTCCGCTTCCCAGGTTCAAGCGATTCTCCTGCCTCAGCCTCCCGAGTAGCTGGGATTACAGGCACAGATCTTCACGCCCAGCTAATTTTTGTTTTGTTTATTTGTTTGTTTTGAGATGGATTCTTGCTCTGTCACCCAGGCTGGAGTACAGTGGTATGATCGCAGCTCATTGCAACCTCCGCCTCCTGGGTTCAAGCAATTCTCCTGCCTTAGCCTCCCGAGTAGCTGGGACTACAGGTGCACGCCACCACATCCAGTTAATTTTTGTATTTTTTTGTAGAGATGGGGTTTCACTGTGTTGGCCAGGCTGGTCTCGAACTCCTGACCTCAGGTGATCTGCCCACCTCGGCCTCTCAAAGTACTAGGATTATAGACGTGAGCCACCGGGCCCAGCCATTTGTATATTTTCTTTGGAGAAATATCTATTCAAAAATGTTCCTATTTTTAATTGAGTTATTTGTCTTTTTATTATTGACTTTTAAGATTTTTTTTTTTTTTTTTTTTGAGGCAGAGTCTCGCTCTGCTGCCCAGACTGGAGTGCAGTGGCGCGAGCTCCACTCACTGCAACCTCCGCATGCTAGGTTCCAGCAATTCTCCTGCCTCAGCCTGCTGAGTAGCTGAAATTACAGGCGCACACCACCACGCCCGGCTAACTTTTTGTGTGTGTATTTTTAGTAGAGACAGGGTTTCACCATGTTGGCCAGGCTGGTTGGCCAGGCTGGTCTTGAACTTCTGACCTCAGGTGATCCGCCCTTCTCTGCCTCCCAAAGCGCTGGGATTACAGGCATGAGCCACCATACCCGGCCAACTTTCAAGAATGTTTTTAAGATTTTGTTGCATACCAAAAGTGTTCTTTATATATTCTGGATGCAAGTCTCAGACATAATGATTTGCAAATATTTTTTCTTCCATTCTGCGAGTTTTAACTTTTTTGATAGCATCTTTTGAACAAAAAGTGCTAACTTTTTATGAAGCTAAATTTGTCTATTTTTTTCTTTTACCACTTGTGTTTTTGTTGTCATGAAGATTTACTCCTGTTTTCTCTTCTACAAGTTGTGTGGCTTTAATTCTTACATTTAGGCCTACAAGCCATTTTGAGCTAAGTTTGTATATGCTGTGAGGTGTCACTGCCCTCATGGTTAGAGCCCAGAAAGCAAGAGAGAAAGCCTTCTCCAGCCTGACCTGAGCCCTCCCTCTTCTGTTCCTGACTCTCATCCGGCAGTAGCTTCACTCACTGATCGTGGTTGGAGCCCTTTTGAGCTCTGGGGAAGGATGGACAGAAAGAAGAGTATCCCCTGGTTCCCCTGAGTTATCAAGCCCCTGTGGGAGGCAGTTGGGAGGGACATGAGGCAGATTAGCACAGGGCATCTGGAGCCAGCAAAGCAGTTTTAGAGCGGGAGCCTGCTTCGGGGATGCTTGAAGGTGGGCACTGGGGTCAGGCTGCTGGCTCAGGCCCAGCTGGTCTTGCAGCAAAGCCGCCGCAGGGAAGATGAACCTGTACGAGTCATTTGCCCAGGCTACCCAGCTGGGCGATCTGCACACCTGCCTGATGATGGACATGAAGGCCTGCCAGGAGGACGATGTGCGGCTCCTGTGCCACCTCACGCCCTCCATCTACACAGAGGTCAGTGCCTGCATCCGTATCTGTGCCGGGGGGCTCACAGGAACACACCTCAGTGAACACTCTGAGTACACACAACCCTGAACCCTCTTTTGTTCATCCCCACTAACCTAGGTGGGCCATTGCTTCCCACACTCACAGCTGTCCCCTCCTTCCACTTCTCTTTATTAGTGGTTGAAACATTTCTAAAACTCCCTGAATTCCTATACTTTGGTGTAACTGATGTGCGTTGGGGTCTGAGCCTATATACTTGGCTTCTCAGATTGGGCCCCATCATCTGGACCCAGGACAGATCCCACAAACCAGATCCATGTTCATATGTCCCAGGCCCTCTTGTCCTCTGATGGCTCACCCTTGCTTGGATTCTCTCTGATAGTTCCTGATGACCAGGGCTTCTGTAGTGGAGACTCACTTTCATTTCCCCTGGTTCACTCACACTCTAGGAACTGGGACATAACAGGTATCGGCCCTTTCTCCTCTTGGTAGAAGTTCCCAGGAAGAGGGAAATAAGGACCCAGGGCATGACAGGAGGAACTGTGATCTCAGCCGAGTACTGGAGGGAGGAGGGGTGCAGATCCTGGACACAGGGTACTTTCCTCCCCCTTCTCTAGATGAGGCCCTGCCTACCCCACACACCTCCAGACATAAACTCTCTACACCACCTCTTTGGCCAAAGGTCAGCACAGGTTGGACTTCTTTGCTGCCAGGGATGCAAATATTTATTCTACCACTGCTCCCACACAGAATCAGCCACCATGGCCAGTCCTCTCAGCTCTGGCTTTATCTCTAGTAGTTCCCCATTCCTTTCTGTACACACATGCTTTGGGAAGTATCAGAGAAAACCCACACCCCTGATGGTGTGCACACATAAATAACAAAACTTGGGGGCTTCAAGTTCTTGAAGTCTTCCAGCATCATAGCTGTTGGATCTCTGTTTAGGGGTTTATTTTAGGGCCTGTGTCTGGCTGACCCAGTCAAACCTTGAGATGTAATAAGGAAGGAGAGTGGGCTATGGGATAAAAGCTGAGGAGCCCATCCAGGACTCTTCCCCTCTCTTTTTCCATTTAGTTTCCAGATGAAACCTTGAGGAGCGGAGAGCTGCTGAACATGATCGTGGCTGTTATTGACTCTGCACAGGTGAACATTGAGCTCTGACCTCCCCAGAAGATCTGGGAGGCAGCATTAGGGACATAGGGCCTCTGCTCTCCCTCCAGGCCTGCAGACAGGGAGCCCATGCCTCCCAGGCACCCTCCCTCCTGGCTACAGTGGTGTGCGCTTTCAGCCATGGGGCCTGGGAAGGAAAAGTGGAACACAAGCAAGGCAGGCTGAGGTTAGGCCAATCCTGCCTGGAGTTCCCCTTATTCTCCATATTCTTTGGGCACTCCTGTTCCACAGCAAAAGCTGAGGGGGTTGTGATTTTAGCTCTCAACTGGCCTTTCCTTTGGCTCGGAATGAAAATGGTCAGACCATTTCTACTTGACCTTTTTACCATGCATAAGGTCCCCAAGAGGCTGTAGCTTTGCTCGGGTCCTTCTGAGGCCTGCACTGGGATCCCATTTCTCCTCCTCTCCACTTAGTTCTCATTCATAAAAGAGGAAGCTTAGCACCCAAGAATCCTCCTTCCTTTGTCTTTACCCTGCCCAACCTACATCCAGAGCCCAGCCTCTCAGGGTCCTTTCCTCCTCAGGCTTAGACCAAGGCTGTAACTATTTTTGCCCAAAATAGTCCTAAGGTTCCCACTCAGGCCTTACTTTATCAGCCCCTTCATCCTTCAGAGATGGCAGCATTCGTTGTGTGCCATCTCCTTCCCATTCCTTTAAACTGGGCCTTCACTTCCTCTAATTTTTTTTTTTCCCTTACGAGCCCTCCTGCGTCCCCCTCCATACTAGCTTCCTGGCCCCTTTCAGAGCTGATGGGTTCTGCCTCCTTCCTCCACCTCCTTAGCTCCAGGAGCTGGTCTGCCACGTGATGATGGGTAACCTGGTTATGTTTCGAAAAGACTCAGTTCTCAACATACTCAGTAAGTGATCAAATCTTTAGGTGCCTGGGAGAGGAGAGGAGGGCAGGGTGTCAGTCCTGTGTATTTTACACTATCAGGAAAGCTGGTTCTGGGGCTGGGAAGTTAAGGGGAGAGAATTGTACTCCACCCTGGTGCGGTCTGGGGCAGTATCTTTCTGGATCTGTCCTACCTCTGTAACATCCCTGCTTGGGGTGCTGGTAGTCAGTGGATTGGGGTGTGTGTGTGTGTGTGTGTGTGTGTGTGTGTGTGTGTGTGTGTGCTGGTAGTCAGTGGATGGGGGGGTGGGGGGGGTGTGTGTGTGTGTGTGTTCGTTTGTTCATTCTTGAGAGAGATGTTTCTTTTGTCTCTTCCAGTTCAGAGCCTAGACTGGGAGACCTTTGAGCAGTATTGTGCCTGGCAGCTCTTTCTGGCCCACAATATTCCCCTGGAGACCATAATCCCCATCCTGCAGCACCTCAAATACAAGGGTGAGTAGGCTTTTGGGTAGGGAGCACATCAGATATGACACTTCCTATACAGTTAGGGCAAGGCTGAGGCCTCTAGGCTTCTAGGATGAGCCCAGATCCATTGTCCTCCTTCCCACCAAAGTGCACAAGGGCAGGCTCTCTGTCAGCCACTTTTGTTCTTTAGGTGAGTCCTGTGGGCCCACCATGAGCCAGGCTCTGGGCTGGGGCTCAGGTGGCTCAGGGACTGATAGGAGTGGGGTAGGGGATTCTTCCTGGCTCCTCATCAAAGACTGTCCTTATTCCCTCCAGTGGCTGTTGGGGGATGAGAGAGGTCCCCAGATTCCATCCTGGAATCATACCTTCCCCCTGAACAGCCTCTGCCCTTCCCTCACAGAGCACCCAGAGGCCCTGTCCTGCCTACTGCTTCAACTCCGAAGAGAAAAGTGAGTTCCACTTCTGGGGCTCTTTAGCCCTCAATTTTAACATCCCAAGAGCTGCTGTGGTCTAAAGGGCTTCTGTCCTCCTCCTTATTGCCATATTTTTTCCTGTCGTTAACATCTGCTTATTCTGCCCTTCCCCCAACGTGACTTACAAATGAGCAGCTCCCCTGGGATCTGGGCTTCCTCTCGACTTTACCCCCCTGCCCACCAGGAGCTGCCCTCGGAGGTGGGGAGGTGGGGACCGGACATCCCTGTTTCCTGCTGCCACAGCAGTTCTAATCCCTGGTGGCTCCTGCTCCCCGCCGCGCCCCCCCCACCGCCCCATGCTCCTGCTGGCCACCGCACAGCTAATCCAAGAGGAGGGAGGGTCAGGGTAGAGGGGTCACGCACCATCCTCTCCCTCACCCTGTGCAGAGCAGAGCCAGCTGGACCTACTGTGCCTTGACAGGGTGGGGCAGAGAGGGAGAGGGTGGCAGCCCCCTCTTCCCGCAAAGCCCTTTAGCAACATCCCCCGATAAATGGGGCAGCAGCTGTGTATCTTATCCTTCCTACCTTTCTGCCTTCCTTCCACCCTTTCTGCTCTCTTGCCTGAGAGACTATAAATGGTACAGAGTGTCCTAGAGGAAGTGGGAAGCTTGGAGGCTGTATGGGGCTGTGACTTCACAACCCTCTCCTGCCCCCTTCCTCCAGCTGGAAGCCAGGTTGGCCCACAGCTTTAGCAGGGTAGGGGTAGGGGAGCATCTGCATGCCACATGCTTGTGCTTCTGCCTCCCAGGCCCACTCCCTGACTGTTCTAGGGGAGGAGGAGGAGAACTGAGGGTCCTCCTTCCCAACACACACACGCACACGCCTTCTCCTACCACAGCAAGTGAAGAATCTCACTTCTTCTCTCCTGGCTTCCACAGAGGATGAAACCAGGCATTCCTTGGCCTAAGGAGAAGAGGGAGAGGGATGTGAGAGTAGTGGGTGGGTGGGGAGGCCAGGGCTTGGGAAATAAGTGGGAGAGACCCAGCATGCCCTGCGGCCACTGTGCAAGCAGCACCCAGTGCCCCCTTCCTCCCCCAGGCCCAGCGAGGAGATGGTGAAGATGGTGCTGAGCCGGCCCTGCCATCCTGACGACCAGTTCACCACCAGCATCCTGCGGCACTGGTGCATGAAACATGACGAGCTGCTGGCCGAGCACATCAAGTCCCTGCTCATCAAGAACAACAGCCTGCCTCGCAAGAGACAGAGGTGGGACACGGTCCCTGTCTACCCTCCAGGCCATGGCGGTCTGCAGTGATTGCTGTCGGTGGTGGTGGTGGTGGTGGTGGTGGTGGTGATGGGGGTCAGTGCTGTCCCAGCCTGGTTTGTGGGCGACATCTAGTGGTCCGAAGCCACATGGCATGCGAGACCACCGTGGCCCTTTCTCCCCATCTTCCAGTGCCCCTGTGGCCAGGATCCCCTGTTCTAGGCACACCTTTCTCACCCAACCCCAGCCCTCCCAGGCTGCCTATCCTGTTCCCCATGTAGGCTGCCTCTGTCTTAAGGGGGCCCTGGCGGGTGGAGGGTGTCTCGCACTCTGGAACCCTCCCACACTCAGACTCTGGCTCTGGTGATTCCTGCACAGCCTGAGGAGCTCTAGCAGCAAGCTGGCCCAGCTGACTCTGGAGCAGATCCTGGAGCACTTGGACAATCTGCGGCTCAACCTGACCAACACCAAGCAGAACTGTATGCCTTCCACCCTCGGCGTCCAGTGTAGACGGTGCTGCCCTGGCCCAGACTATGCCTGGAGCCAGGCTGGGGGCAGGGGCAGGACACCCGGGGCCACAACCCACACTCGGGATAAAACAACCTGTGCGTGCTGTTTAATAAGCTCCCAGACATCTGATTGTTTTTCCTTCCCTGCTCTCCCTTTTCTTCCTCTAGTTTTTAGCCAGACGCCAATTCTCCAGGCGCTGCAGCATGTCCAAGCGAGCTGTGACGAAGCCCACAAGATGAAGTGAGGCTCCTGCCACTTTGGGCCTTGGAAAGTAGTAGGGGAAAAGCCTAAGGGAGAGGAAGCCTGCTAGGGACATAAACGTAATGGCCAGCAAGACCTTAGGGTCCAGGGTTGAAGAAAAAGAAGGCCTAGGCCTGGGGGCAGAGAAGAGGATGGGAGGTGCCGTAGGAGCAGCAGGCTCCCACTCAAAGAGCTACCGCTCCTTTTCCTTAGATTCAGTGATCTCTTCTCCCTGGCGGAGGAATATGAGGACTCTTCCACCAAGCCACCCAAGAGCCGGCGAAAAGCAGCTCTGTCCAGCCCTCGAAGTCGAAAGAATGCCACACAGCCCCCCAATGCCGAAGAAGAGTCGGGCTCCAGCAGTGCTTCAGTGAGAACCCAGCCAGTGCACAGGGGGAAAAGGAGCACTGGGTGCAGGTGGAGTCGGCGCCAGCAGCTGCCCAGGCTGTTAACTTCCCATTTCCCCTCCCATCTCTTCCAGGAAGAGGAAGACACGAAACCGAAGCCTACCAAGCGGAAACGAAAAGGGTCCTCTGCAGTGGGCTCTGACAGTGACTGAGGCCCTGCATTCCCCATCCCACCCCCGGCTGGACTGCCCTCTCCTTCTTGGTGATTCAAAGGTTAATAGAGGCTGAGGAGATTGCAGGGGAAACACCCTTGCTGCATCCCCAAGCTCCCCCGGTGGAAGGAGGAGCTTTCTCCTCTGGCTGAGTTTGAGAAGCTGCCATGCAGCCCCTAGCCCCTTCCCTCCTCCTGGGGCCTCCAGCCCCTCACACTGCTGTTCCCAGTGATATTTGGGATCTGACTGAAGCCAGAGGCTCTGTAAAATCAGACCATAGTGGAAGTCCTCAGCCCCCTGGCCCCTTCCGCAATCTCCTCCCCCAGTCTCCCAAAGAGCCATTTCAACAGAGAAGGGAAATGACAAAGGGGCAGCTGGCCAGATAAGCTAGGATGAGAGCAGAGACTCAGTGTGTGGGTGTCCCTTCCTGCTTCCCCTTCAGGTCTTGGTTTGTTCTGAAGGGACGTTTTATAGTCACTATCCACATGCCAGTGTGAAATGGGCATCTATGACGTGGTCAGGGTGTCCATTCCTAATCATGGGGCAGATGCCACAAGCATTCAGAAAGGAGTCTGAAAGGGTGGCCACAGCCCCACGTGGTGTGCCCTGGAGGCTTAGGTTGGTCTGAGGTTGGCACCTCAATCTACACCAGAGCCCAGGGAGTCCCAGAGGCAAGTTTCACAGAATTGTCAAATGATCCCATTTCCTTGAGTCTGTTTTTTTTTTTGTTTTTTTTTGTTTTTTTTTTGGCAGAGATAATCGTGTCTTAAAAGTTGTTTTTAAATGACAATAAAACAAGCCAGAATGTCTTTTGTGCTGGAGTGTCTGCTGGCATTTGCCCCGTGCATGTATAGCTTGGTCTTGATTTGATTGGCACCCCTACTTGTAACCGCAGAACATCCCCCTTTCCCTTCCTGTTCTGCCCCCACTTTTGTCTAGAGCAGAAGGGACTTGGCTTTGGCCACTACCCATCCTTCCTGCTGCCACTGGAGGTGGGAGCCAGGCACTGATCTGTCTATGCAGAACCATCCCCCGTAGGATGAGGCCTGTCCTTACTCATTTCTCAAGAAACAAGATGCTTCCAAAAGGTCTGTCATCCTCCAGTTGAAGTCTGTGTGCCTACCAAGAATGGCCGGAGGACTCGCTGCTTGACGGGAGGGATGCTCCAGCTTGGTCTCCAGGGACAACTGTACCTGGAGATAAAGTCTGGATACCAGGGAGGGACAGAGATGCTCTTCCTTCCAC
The DNA here is from genome assembly GCF_000001405.40 of Homo sapiens. Taxonomy (NCBI): domain Eukaryota; kingdom Metazoa; phylum Chordata; class Mammalia; order Primates; family Hominidae; genus Homo; species Homo sapiens. Next base: position 91,217 of record NW_003315905.1, read on the forward strand.
AGTGTGGCCACTTGCTGGGCCATGTGAACCAGCAGAGGAGAGTTCCTTGGCTATGCTGTTGTTCCCCCGCTGTCCAGGGAGAATGGAGGTGGACTGAGGAGTGAAGTTTGGGCGAACTGCACAGAGCTGCTCCTCTTCACCCCGAAAATTTGTCTTTTTACAGAATCCAGGTTCTCCCCTCCCTCATCACTGCTGTTGCTTCCTTTGAAAGTCTAAACCACTGGAGGCTTCTTTTTCCTTCCTCTCTCCTTCCCCAGTTTCCTCTGTCCCAATTAAAACCAGGATGGAGAGCATTTGCTGGCTGGCCCCAATTATTGTACCCTTGCCCAAAGGGAGGGGCCTCTGTCGTGACCCCTCAGAAATCTGGCAGTCTGGGTTTCCACCTTTCCCCTATTTAACTCTCAGCCCCCACCCATCCCCTGGGGTTGCGGCTGGCAGGCCGGGACTTGCAGAACCAAATGGGCCAGGGGCCAAGTTCATTCTTTTGGGAGAGAGCAATGGTACCTTCCCTTAACGGGAAAACGAGAAATATTGAGGGGAAGATGGACTGCGATCCAAACGCCCTGGCTCTCAGGCCTGGACTCTAGGGCTTAGCCAGATGCCTAAACCGCCCAAGCCGAGAAACAACTTAGAAGACAGACATAACCCTGGGATTCAGGGAAGGCGCGAGCACCGCCCAGGACCTGGTAGGGTGCGAGCCGCGAGCAGTCCGGGAGGGAGCGCGCCTAGGGCGGAGCGTAGGCTGTGGGGGGAGGGCTGGGAGTCCGGGGCCGCCCCACACCCGCACTCCTCCCGGGTTTCTGCTCTCCGCCCGTGTGGAGTGGTGGGGGCCTGGGTGGGAATGGGCGTGTGCCAGCGCACGCGCGCTCCCTGGAAGGAGAAGTCTCAGCTAGAACGAGCGGCCCTAGGTTTTCGGAAGGGAGGATCAGGGATGTTTGCGAGCGGCTGGAACCAGACGGTGCCGATAGAGGAAGCGGGCTCCATGGCTGCCCTCCTGCTGCTGCCCCTGCTGCTGTTGCTACCGCTGCTGCTGCTGAAGCTACACCTCTGGCCGCAGTTGCGCTGGCTTCCGGCGGACTTGGCCTTTGCGGTGCGAGCTCTGTGCTGCAAAAGGGCTCTTCGAGCTCGCGCCCTGGCCGCGGCTGCCGCCGACCCGGAAGGTCCCGAGGGGGGCTGCAGCCTGGCCTGGCGCCTCGCGGAACTGGCCCAGCAGCGCGCCGCGCACACCTTTCTCATTCACGGCTCGCGGCGCTTTAGCTACTCAGAGGCGGAGCGCGAGAGTAACAGGGCTGCACGCGCCTTCCTACGTGCGCTAGGCTGGGACTGGGGACCCGACGGCGGCGACAGCGGCGAGGGGAGCGCTGGAGAAGGCGAGCGGGCAGCGCCGGGAGCCGGAGATGCAGCGGCCGGAAGCGGCGCGGAGTTTGCCGGAGGGGACGGTGCCGCCAGAGGTGGAGGAGCCGCCGCCCCTCTGTCACCTGGAGCAACTGTGGCGCTGCTCCTCCCCGCTGGCCCAGAGTTTCTGTGGCTCTGGTTCGGGCTGGCCAAGGCCGGCCTGCGCACTGCCTTTGTGCCCACCGCCCTGCGCCGGGGCCCCCTGCTGCACTGCCTCCGCAGCTGCGGCGCGCGCGCGCTGGTGCTGGCGCCAGGTAAGGCTGGAGCTCCGAACTGACTAAGGCGGGGCCAGCCACAGAAGGGGGCGTGTCGGAGACCACAGAAAGGCTTGGTCTCATCCCTGGGCCTGGGAAGAAGCCGACTATCCCTTGGGGTTCGAAAGTGGGTGGAGATAGGAGTCTCCGGGTTTGAGAAGGGATGAGGCTGAATCTTTGGTGCCCCAAGGATCCCCAAGGAGTCGAGTTCCAGGCCTCAGACCCAAGATGGAATGTCCATACCCTTCACCCTCATCCAAGAGCAGTGTGGGCTGGGATAGGGAGGGGACATGGGTCATAGGCTCTTCTAGGTAGAGCCAGGGCCCCGGCGTTGTGCTTTCCCACCCTTCTAGAGTTTCTGGAGTCCCTGGAGCCGGACCTGCCCGCCCTGAGAGCCATGGGGCTCCACCTGTGGGCTGCAGGCCCAGGAACCCACCCTGCTGGAATTAGCGATTTGCTGGCTGAAGTGTCCGCTGAAGTGGATGGGCCAGTGCCAGGATACCTCTCTTCCCCCCAGAGCATAACAGACACGTGCCTGTACATCTTCACCTCTGGCACCACGGGTGAGGGCCGGGCACCATACTTAGCTCCCCGAAACCAAGGCAGAGGAAGGCAGGGGTCTGCTCCCAGACCACTCCTTCAAAGCCCCCAGAGAGGATGCTGATTTCATTGGCACATCCTTTTTCTCCCCATCATTTCACTCCCCAGTCTCCTCACCTCCTACTCATTTCTCCACCTCCCCCAGACCACCCATATTTCCAGGACAGCCTGGTCTCGGTCCTCAGCTTCTGTCCTGCCTCCGCCTCTTTCTGTGGGAAACCCAGCGGGGGTGCAAACAGATAGGTAGAGCTTGGAGTTTGCCCTTCCCCTGATCGTCCCATAACTGCCACCCCACAGGCCTCCCCAAGGCTGCTCGGATCAGTCATCTGAAGATCCTGCAATGCCAGGGCTTCTATCAGCTGTGTGGTGTCCACCAGGAAGATGTGATCTACCTCGCCCTCCCACTCTACCACATGTCCGGTTCCCTGCTGGGCATCGTGGGCTGCATGGGCATTGGTCAGTCTCCCCAACCCCACCTTCATTAATTCATCCAGTAGACATTTATTAAGCACGTACTATGGTGTGAGTCCTCCAGGGTAGATAATCTAGAGGACGGATGGGGCAGAGCCCTACTCACCAGGAGCTCTGTACAATAGGGCAATGTCACCTGCCTAGACCTACAGACTGAGGAACGGTGAGGGGGGCCATACAGCCACATAACTCCAGGCTGCAGGGTCAAAGGCAGGGAAGGACTGTGTCAGTCCAGGAACAGGCAAGTAAGAGAAGAGGGAGAGAGAGACAAGGAAGTGAGAGTGTGGAGGATGAGATCTTTGGGGCTGGGAAGTAGGGAAAGGGCATTCACCTCTTCTAAGGCTGGGGACAGGGGCCGGGGGAGGGGAAAGAGGGCCAGCACGGCTTCCTGACGGTGTGACTCCCACAGTGGGCCCTTCCCAGGGAAAGACTACAGTGATGGCTGGGGTCTGGAAAGAGGGGCTTGGGCTCCCCACTCTGCTCCTAATCTTACCTCCCTTCTTCCCCCCTGCCCACTTCTGGCAGGGGCCACAGTGGTGCTGAAATCCAAGTTCTCGGCTGGTCAGTTCTGGGAAGATTGCCAGCAGCACAGGGTGACGGTGTTCCAGTACATTGGGGAGCTGTGCCGATACCTTGTCAACCAGCCCCCGGTGCGTGGGCACAGATCCTGGGCAGAGCTGCTGACACAGGGCTAGCTCACGGGGAGCAGGACAGTTGACAGGAGACAGGGAGTTGGAGGGAGAAGCAGCAAGAAGAAAATGGCAGTGTAAGATAAGGAGCCAGAGATGGCCTAGGCCATCTGATGCTTACGGCCTCTGAAGGAGGTCACAGTAGGAGGGGGTTCTGGGGAATGGGGAACAGGAATTCACTTCCGGGAGCGGGCATCTTGATGCTGAAGCTCCGGCCCCTCTCCCACTCATCTCAGAGCAAGGCAGAACGTGGCCATAAGGTCCGGCTGGCAGTGGGCAGCGGGCTGCGCCCAGATACCTGGGAGCGTTTTGTGCGGCGCTTCGGGCCCCTGCAGGTGCTGGAGACATATGGACTGACAGAGGGCAACGTGGCCACCATCAACTACACAGGACAGCGGGGCGCTGTGGGGCGTGCTTCCTGGCTTTACAAGGTGAGGGGCAGAGAGGAAACTGAAAACCCGTGGAACAGCAGAGGGCTGGCAGGAGAGGGGGCTCATGTGACTGCAATGATCCAGTACCCAGGTCTCCCTTTCCCCAGCATATCTTCCCCTTCTCCTTGATTCGCTATGATGTCACCACAGGAGAGCCAATTCGGGACCCCCAGGGGCACTGTATGGCCACATCTCCAGGTTGGTGGTGTTCTGGTGGGGTGGGCGGGGTGCTGAAGCTGGCACAGGAGGACTGGAATTGGAGACTGGGGTGGATGGGGGCAGAAGGCTCTGGGAAAGGTGACACCACTCCTGACCCTGGTGACTCTGCCAGGTGAGCCAGGGCTGCTGGTGGCCCCGGTAAGCCAGCAGTCCCCATTCCTGGGCTATGCTGGCGGGCCAGAGCTGGCCCAGGGGAAGTTGCTAAAGGATGTCTTCCGGCCTGGGGATGTTTTCTTCAACACTGGGGACCTGCTGGTCTGCGATGACCAAGGTTTTCTCCGCTTCCATGATCGTACTGGAGACACCTTCAGGTATCTGTCCATAACTGGTTTTTCATCCTGGACATCTGATCTCTGTGATCCAAAGCTTCTGAACCTCAACTCTCTAATCTGCCACCTCAACCTGGGTCCTAAGCTAATCTCTCATTCTCAGATCTCACCATTTCATCCCTGTGACACTGACCTCTGACCTCATCTCCCCACCAAGCCCATAAGGCCCTGACCCCTGACTCCCAGTTTCAGATCTCTGCTCTCTGACAGGTGGAAGGGGGAGAATGTGGCCACAACCGAGGTGGCAGAGGTCTTCGAGGCCCTAGATTTTCTTCAGGAGGTGAACGTCTATGGAGTCACTGTGCCAGGTGCCTAGGCATGGAAGGTGGGGGAGGCACCCAGCCACCACCCCGAATTGGTAGTACTTGGGCGCAGGGAGCACGAGGCCTTCGTGGTGGTCAGCCATGGAGGGGCTTACTCTGTCTCCCACACCCACCAGGGCATGAAGGCAGGGCTGGAATGGCAGCCCTAGTTCTGCGTCCCCCCCACGCTTTGGACCTTATGCAGCTCTACACCCACGTGTCTGAGAACTTGCCACCTTATGCCCGGCCCCGATTCCTCAGGCTCCAGGTAACCGGCCACTTCCCCCGCCGGCCCCTCACCCCATATATCCTCACCCCACATATCCACCCCGTGTATCAACTTAGGAGTTTGATGGCTCCCAAACTCCACAAAGGGACCCCCAACGTAATACACTCCGTGAAGAGAAAAAACACGGAGACACAAGCTCTTCACCCCACTTCTTTCCTTATCCCTGCCTTCTTCTGGCCTGGCTCTTTCTCCTCCCTGTCACCTCCTCCCCTAAACCTTGACCTCACACTCCCTTTCCCAAGACTTGCTCCTTAACAAAATTCAGGCAACTCCCCTGAACCACGTGGGCAGAGTCCCCTTCCCTCCAAATCCCTGACCCTCCTGTCCCCAGGAGTCTTTGGCCACCACAGAGACCTTCAAACAGCAGAAAGTTCGGATGGCAAATGAGGGCTTCGACCCCAGCACCCTGTCTGACCCACTGTACGTTCTGGACCAGGCTGTAGGTGCCTACCTGCCCCTCACAACTGCCCGGTACAGCGCCCTCCTGGCAGGAAACCTTCGAATCTGAGAACTTCCACACCTGAGGCACCTGAGAGAGGAACTCTGTGGGGTGGGGGCCGTTGCAGGTGTACTGGGCTGTCAGGGATCTTTTCTATACCAGAACTGCGGTCACTATTTTGTAATAAATGTGGCTGGAGCTGATCCAGCTGTCTCTGACCTACAGTATCTGTCATTATCTCTCTGTGGAACTGCTTTTTCCTTGAGAGTTTTCTCCTGGCGTGGAGCCACAGGCCCCACATTCCTGCCCTGACTGGCTGTGGGCCAGAGCCCCGTATCTGGACCTTGGTGTTTTCCTCTCAGGAGACCCTGTGTGACCTTCGTCCTTGGAGAACCTCTGGTGACTGATGTTTGTCTGTGCTCCTGTGTAGCTCGCCCCAGTTTTACTCTCCGAGTGCCAGGCTCCCACTGCTCTGTCTTGGGAACTGGAGGACCCGAGGGGTCGGCTCAAAGGGCAGAGGTGGACAGAAGCACACAGAAATGCCACCTCCGGCAGCCAGCCCAAACTGCTCCCCCAGAATCAGGTGTGGCCGGGCCTGGGGAAGAGTCTTAACCAGCCCAAACAAGTGTTTGACTGTGGGGGAAAGGATGCTCAAGATATCCCTCTGCCTCGCAGCTGTCTCTGAGAAGCCAATCTTTGAGGGGGAAGAGTGGGGTGCCCCTGCCTCCAGATGTTCCTACTCCTACCTGGTGACTGTCAGACATTCCCAGAAGGAGCAGTCCCCAGGGGGGACCCTCCGGTACTGCAGGAGAGTTTGACGGAAGCCCCTCCATGGAGTGAGGCTCAGAGTGCATGTGGTGGCAGGAGGGATGGTGGGAATCAAAAGGACAAAGGCCTCTCGATCCCCAAATGAGGTGTCCAGAAAGTTCATCATCTAAAAGCTTGAAATGATGAAGCTCCTGCTTCTCCTAGGAACTACAGTCCCCCTCTGTTTTGAGCTGTGGGTCCTTGAAATTTTATGCTACTTTGCCTTTCCCCTTCTAGCCCCTCTCCCCAACATGAGAGGTCAGGGGACATGCCCTACTGGCACACTTGGGTCTCTATTGCGGGCCCTCCTGTTCCAAAACTTTACAACTTGCCCCCTTCCACCAGCAAGCCCGGTGCAGCCTCACTGACAGACTAGGTAAGGCACACGCTAAGGTGCAGGGGAAAACTTCATGCGTAGACCAATAAATGTGGAACTTAACTCATTCTGTGCACCTCTCCAATCTGCCCCAGGAGGAGTACAATAGTTTGGGTGTGCCTGGGGGTAGGGCGGGTAGGCAGCCTGTGTTGGCTGGCAGTGGGGCACCTCCTGCAGCTGCTCTCCCACACCTTAACTCAGCCCAGATTTCCCAGACCTGCGAGCTGAGTGGCCACCTCCCCCATCGTAGAACCTCACACCAAGCTTTTTTTTTTTCTGGAGACGGAGTCTCGCCCTGTAGCCCAGGCTGGAGTGCAATGGTGCAATCTCGGCTCACTGCAACCTCTACCTCCCAGGTTCAAGCAATTCTCCTGCCTCAGCCTCCCGAGTAGCTGGGATTGCAGGCACACGCCACCACATCCGGCTAATTTTTTTTTCTATCTTTAGTAGAGACCGGGTTTCACCATGTTGGCCAGGCTGGTCTCGAACTCCTGACCTCGTGATCTGCCCGCCTCAGCCTCTCAAAGTACTGGGATTACAGGTGCCCGGCCTATTTTTGCTTTTTAAAGTGTAGCTACTAGAATATTTAGAATTACATGTGGCTCAGGTTATATTTCTTTTTTTTTTTTTTTTTTTTTTTTTTTTGGAGATGGAGTCTCGCTGTGTCGCCCAGGCTGGAGTGCAGTGGTGCGATCTCTGCTCACTGCAAGCTCCACCTCCCGGGTTCACGCCATTCTCCTGCCTCAGCCTCCTGAGTAGCTGGGACTACAGGCGCCCGCCACAACGCCCGGCTAATTTTTTGTATTTTTAGTATAGACGGGGTTTCATCGTGTTAGCCAGGATGGTCTCAATCTCCTGACCTCGTTATCTTCCCGCCTCGGCTTCCCAAAGTGCTGGGATTACAGGCGTGAGCCACCGCGCCCGGCCGGCTCAGGTTATATTTCTACTGAATAGTGCTGGCCTAAATCCTGACCCCACACTTCACTCTGCAAACCCACAAATGCCAAGTGTAACATGTCAGTTGCACCTGTGCCACCCCTCTCTTGAGTATCTGCACTTTAGCAAGGTAAGCTGGGAGGAGGGGAATTCTGGTAAAGTGGGCTGAGCCAGTCGCTGGGACGCTGGGACAGCATTCTGTCTTCTACTCCTATGTTGGGCTCACGGCTCGGCTCTTTGAACCAGCTTTGTCACAGAGGCTGTAATTAGTGATAGAAATGGAAAGCTGCAAGAAGGCCAACTTTTGATTCAAAAGCATCAGGTTTTCTGTTTGCTATAATAAAAATAAAATAAATTTTAAAAGAATTAGGTTTGACACCAGCCTGGGCAACATGGCCAGGCATGGTAGTGCGCATCTGCAATCCCAGCTACCAGGGCAGAGGGGTGATGCTGAGGTGGGAAGATCCCTTGAGTCTGGGAGGTCGGGGCTGCAGTGAGCAGTGATGGTGCTAACTGCACTACAGCCTGGGCGACAGAGTGAGACCCTGTCTCAAAAGAAAAAAAAAATTAGGTTGCCCCACAAAAAGTTAATTGAAATAAAATTAAATGAGATCATGAGATAGTTTGCAAAGATGAACCAGGGGCCAGGCGCGGTGGCTCACGTCTGTAATTCCAGCACTTTGGGAGGCTGAGGTGGGAGGATCACTTGAGCCCAGGAGTTCAAGACCAGCCTGGGCAACATGGCGAAACCCCATCTCTACAAAAAACAAAAATTAGCCGGGCGTGGTGGTGCACACCTGTAGTCCCAGCTACTTGGGAGGCTGAGGTGGGAGGATCGCTTGTGCCCAGGAGGCCGAGATTGCACCACTGCAATCCAGCCTAGGCAACAGAGTGAGACCCTGTCTCAAAAACAAAAACAAAACAAAAAAAAACAGATGAACTAGGGTGGTCCTCAGGTGGTGAGTGCCCTTTCTCATCAGGTTGGATAGAGGAGGATGATGGATGCAGAGAACCTAGTCCACAAATCGTAGCAATACTCTCAGCCTCGTTGTGTCTGCGGAACCTTCCCTGGGGGTAAAGGGGCCCCCTTCCCAAACCTGCCTCAAAGGCAGGAGTCAGCAAACTATGCTGCCTGTTTTTGTTACATACAGCACACTAAAAAATGGTTTTTATATTTTTAGGTGGTTGAAAAAAAAAAGACTATTTCATAACATGTAAAAATTACACGGGTTCAAATTTCAGTGTCCATAAATAGTTCTGCTGGCACACAGCCGCGCTCGTTCGTTATGATTGTCTATGTCCGCTCTCCTGCCACAACAGCAGGGCCGAGTGTTTATGAGACCCGATGGCCTGCAAAGCAGAAACTACTTCTCGTGCGGCCCTGGACTGAAAGAGTTTGCCGACGCCTCTATCTGCCCCATCCCTCCTGCGCCGCTGGGCTGCGGCTGCTTCCGTGAGCCCCGGGAAGGGGAGGGGAAGTGGAAGGAAGCCCGCGAGCTGCGAGGCACCCGGGGCGGCCGCGCGCGAACCCACAAGCGGGGAGATGGCTTGGCAGGGAGAGTCGGGAGGCACCCCTCGCCCGGAGACCCCCGTGGGGCTTGGCAAAAAAAAAAAAACCCATCTCGGGCGCTGCTGGGGGCGGAAAGGCGTCAGGCGCATGGAGCCAACATACTCCCTGGCAGCCTCCGCCCGGCGGGCCCCTGCAGGGCGGTGCTTCGCGCCTACGTAAACCCGACCTCGCTGCGCAAGCGCAAATCGGTGCCCGCCCGGCGCGCGAGAGGGGCGGGGCAGGCTGGGGAGGCGGGCGGAGCCATTCTTATGGTGGTACAGAAGCTCCTGACTTCCAGCCAAAAAGACAAACGGAGGGGCGAGGCCGGAGTACCTGGAGTTTTCCTCCCAGAGCCTCTTTAAAACTCACCCGTTTAAAGTGTAAAATTTAGTGTTTTTGGTATATTCGCAAAGTTGTGCATCCATGGCCACCACCTAATTTAGAACATTTTTGTCACCTCACAAGGAAATCCCTACTCATTAGCAGTCACTGTCCACTCACCCCTCACCCTAGGCCCTGGCAACCACTAATCCTAGACATTTCATGTAAGTGGAAGTATAGAATATGTTCTTTTTTTTTTTTTTTGAGACGGAATCTCACTCTGTCGCCCAGGCTGGAGTGCAGTGGCCTGATCTCGGTTTACTACAACCTCCGCCTCCTGGGTTCAAGCGATTCTCCTGCCTCAGGCTCCCGAGTAGCTGGGACTACAGGCACATGCCACCATGCCTGGCTAATTTTTTGTATTTTTAGTAGAGACGGGGTTTCACTTGTTAGCCAGGATGGTCTCAACCTCCTGACCTCGTCATCCGCCCGCCTCGGCCTCCCAAAGTGCTGGGATTACAGGCGTGAGCCACCGCGCCCGGCCATATGTTCCCTTTTTGTAACCGGGCACCTTAACTTTAAAATGCATTTAAAATTTTTTTTCTACCTCCTGGGTTCAAGTGATCCTCCCACCTCAGCCTCCCCAGTAGCAGGGACCAAAGATGGGCACCACCACACCCGGCTAATTTTTGTATTTTTTGTACAGATGGGGTTTCACCATGTTGCCCAGGCTGGTCTCAAACTCCTGGACTTGAGTGATCCGCCAACTTCTCAGCCTTCCAAAGTGCTGGGATTAAGGTGTGAGCAACCGCGCCTGGCCTTGAACTTTTTTTTTTTTTTTTTTTGAGACAAGAGTCTCGCTCTTGTCACCCAGGATGGAGTGCAATGGCACGATCTCGGCTCACTGCAACCTCTGCCCCCTGGGTTCAAACAGTTATCCTCCCTCAGCCTCCCAAGTAGCTGGGATTACAGGCACCCGCTACCACGCCCGGCTAATTTTTATATTTTTAGTAAAGATGGGTTTCACCATTTTGGCCAGGCTGGTCTTGAACTCCTGACCTCAGGTGATCTACCTGCCTTGTTGGTCTCCCAAAGTGGTGGGATTACAGGCGTGAGCCACCGCGCCCGGCCTTTTTTTTTTAAGTTAATTTATTATTATTATTATTATTTTTTTTTTTTGAGACAGAGTTTCACTCTTGTTGCCCAGACTGGAGTGCAATGGTACGATCTCAGCTCACAGCAACCTCTGCCTCCCGCATTCAAGCGATTCTTCTGCCTCAGCCTCCTGTAAACTTTTCTTTTTCTCTTGGGTTTTAAGGTATAATCTTGAGGAGAACTGCAGAAGCCTTCTGTCTTAGCCTTAAAATAGACTCCGCATCCCTCCCTTTCCTACAGTATATATTCCCTTCACATTTATCTAACTATATGCTAGTGTCTAATTATGTGCCTTCTTAGAGGTTCCAGGGGCTAATCTTGAGATAGATGAACCAAGTCTGGAGACCCAGCTGCAAAATTCCAGAGATTACTTCAAGGTTGCTAGTTAACAACCCAGCCATTGTTGAGATGACACCAGCCTGAGATCCAGGTGGACTGGGACCCGAGCTAGCCACCAGAACAAGACACAGCTCAATTCTTGCATGCCTTATCAATTTTTTTTTCTTTTTTCTTTCTTTCTTTTTTTTTTTAATCCCTGCCTTCCCCGCAAAAATCAAAGTGGTTGCTTTGGATGGGAATCCGGCCACTTCCCCTTTACTAGTTTTGGTTAATAAAATCATTTTCTTTAAAAAAAATTTTTTTTTAAGACTAGTCAAATGAAGCAGTGGGAGTGGAGAAGGAACAAAGAAATCTGTAACTGGTTGTGATCAATGAGTTGTAAACACCACTGCACTCAGACCAGCCTAAAATCACTTTCTTTCTACCAGACCTTCCTCTTGTTTATTGGACTCTGCAAGCAGCAAGCATCCAGAGCCATATTCAGTTGCATTTTGTGTCTGTCTTCTTTCACTTAGCAGAATGTTTTCTTTTTCTTTCTTTTTTTTTTTTTTTTTTTAAGACAGGGTCTCACTCTGTCACCCAGGCTGGAGTGCAGTGACACAATATCAGCTCACTGCAACCTGCGCCTCCCAGGTTCAAGCAATCCTTCCACCTCAGCCTCCCCAGTAGCTGCCACCATGCCCAGCTAATTTTCTTTTTAATTTTTTGTAGAGATGGAGGTTCGCCATGTTGTTCAGGCTGATCAGAAACTCCTGAGCTCAAGTGATTCACCAGCCTTAGCCTCCCAAAGTGCTAGGATTACAGGTGTGAGCTACCACACCTGGCTTCATTCCTTTTTTATGGCTGTATAATATTCCGGTGTATGGATCTATCACATTTTGTTAATCCATTCATCTGTTGATGGACACTGGGGCTATTTATGCCTTCTGGTTATTTAAATAATATGGCTATCAACATTCATGTACAAATTTTTGTGTGAACATATACATTCAATATTCTTGGGTAGATATCTAGGAATGGAATTGCTAGGTCAAACAGTAACTCTATGTTTAACTTTTTGAAGGAACTGCCAAACTGTTTTCCACAGTAGCTGCACCATTCTACATTCCCACCAGCAGTATATGAGGGGTTCCAGTTTTTCCACATCCCCACTACTTGTTATTATCTGTCTTTTTTTACTATAGCCATCCTACTGGGTGCGATGTGGTATCTCATTGTGGCTTTGATTTGCATTTTCCCATGGCCAATGAGGTTGAGTTTCTTTTCATGTGTTTACTGGCCATTTGCATATCTTCTTTGGAGAGATGTTTATTCATATTTTTTGCTCACTTTGTAACTGGGTTATTTGCCTTTTAATTATTGAGTTGTACAAGTTTTTCTTTTAATCTGGACATAAGTTTCCTATCAGATATATAGTTTGCAAATATTTGATTCTGTTGTCTTTTCACTTTCTTGTCAAAAGCATCCTTTGAAGCACAAAGGTTTTAATTTTTTTTTCTTTTTTTGAGACAGGGTCTCACTCTGTCACCCAGGCTGAAATGCAGTAGCACAATCTTGGCTCACTGCAACCGCCACCTCCAAGGTTCAAGCGATCCTCCTGTCTCAGCCTCCCAAGTAGCTGGGATTATAGGTGTGTACCACCATGCCCAGCTAAATTTTTTTTTTTTTTTTTGAGATGGAGCCTCCCTCTGTCACCGAGGCTGGAGTGCAGTGGAGCGATCTCAGCTCACTGCAACCTCCATCTCCCGGGCTTTACCAATTCTCCTGCCTCAGCCTCCCGAGTAGCTGGGACTACAGGCGCACGCTGCCATGCCCGGCTAATTTTGTTGTTGTTGTTGTTACCCAGGCTGGTCTCAAACTCCGGAGCTCAGGCAGTCCACCTGCCTCAGCCATCTAAAGTGCTAGGATTACAAGCGTGAGCCACTGCGCCTGGCCGATTTTGTATATTTAGTAGAGACAGGGCTTTACCATGTTGGCTAGGCTGGTCTGGAACTCTAGGGCTCAGATGATCTGCCCGCCTTGGCCACCCAAAGTGCTGGGATTATAGGCGTGAGCCATCACGCCTGGCCCAGGCTTTACATTTTGATGAAGAACAGTTTATCTTTGTTTTTTGTTTGTTTGTTTGTTTGTTTTGTACAGTGAGAATTTTGTAATACTTAGTTTTTCCCCAAGGAAGAATAAAGATATCTTATACTTCATTTGGTAATGTACTTGTTAAAGGTAATATGGGTGTTATTACTTGAAACTATTTAATGGCATATTGTATAACAGTGCACATATTAGGGGTCAATATTTCCAGAGAAAAAGTATTTTAGTATAAATAAAACTAATTGAATAAAAATCCTGGCACCCTTAGAGGAATGGTTGATCTCAGGTCTGGGGGAGAAAATACTCTGAATGAGCCTGGGGCAGATGGTTCCAGAAAGCAAAGATACCAAAGAACGGGGGAATAGCAAATGGACACTGAACTCCCACTGGCCTGAGATAGAGACAAATTGAACCTCAGAGAGATTGCAGCAGAAACATTGAATTAAAAAAAAAAGTATCAGTGCAAACTCCCACTAAAGGGACTTCTACTAAAGGGAAGATGGATAAAGGGAGAGAGAAAAAGAAACACATTGGACAGAGTACCAACTCTTTACTCTGATAATTGGCAAACAAAGGAAAAAACTAAGCACTCTCCCTTCTTTCCCATGTGAACTGAATTTCAGGGTTACCAAATTGTCCTAGTTGATGAGGGGACTTTCTTTACAGAAGAATTTCAGTTAATAAATGAGAAAGGAATGACAGAACTGGAAAATCAGCATTTTGCAACCCCTAATGAAATAACTGTCAGGCAATTATTACCAATAGCTATGACTATTGGATAAAAGGTTGATGAGGCTGGGTGTGGTAGCACATGCCTGTAGTCCCAGCCACTTGGAAGGCTACAGAGGGAGAACATTTGAGCCCAGGGGTTTGAAGCTGCAGAGAACTATGATTGTGCCTGTGAATAGCCACTGCACTCCAGCCTGGGCAACACAGGGAGACCTCATCTCTTAAAAAAAAAGGAAAGAAAGAAAGAAAGAAAAGGTTGATGAGGGGCCAGACATGGTGGCTCACGCCTGTGATCCCAGCACTTTGGAAGGCCAAGGCAGGCGGATCACCTGAGGTCAGGAGTTTGAGACCAGCCTGGCCAACACGGTGAAACCCCGTCTCTACTAAAAATACAAAATTAGCTGGGCGTGGTGGTATGCGCCTGTAATCAGGAGGCTGAGGCAGGAGAATCACTTGAACCCAGGAGGCCGGGGTTGCAGTGAGTTGAGATCGCACCATTGCACTCCAGCCTCGGCAAGAAGAGTGAAACTCCATCTCGAAGAAAAAAATTAAAAAAAGAAAAGATTGACAAGGAATCTTGGAGAGATCAGGTTATCAGCACCTGTAGCCCCTAATCAATTTTAGAATCACTAACAGTAAGACAACCAGATATTGTGCATCTCCTGAATGCAGTGTGCAGCATAAAATACCAACAATAAAGTCTTCTTGCCTAAAAGTGGAACCTGAATAAACCAAGCCTCTGAGCCAACATCCATTTATAGAGGAACGTATTCAATAGCACACACACACACAAAAATCAGACAGATCCAGAACATGCAAAATTTTACTGGAAAATTTACCCAGTCTCTTCAACAATTCAATGACATATAAGGGTGAGGGTTGGGGGTGTTTGCCTTTGATAAGATCATTAAGAGACACAATAATCAAATGCAGCGTATAAACCTTGTTCTTGATTCAAAACAGAAAAACAGTAGAAAGACATTTTTCAGACAATCAGGGATATTTGGTTAAGGACTAGGTATTAGATGATATTAAGGAATAATTAAAGAATTTTGTCATATATGATAATGGCATTGTGGTTATGAAGAAAACGTTTGTAATTTTTTTTTTTCTTTATTGAGACAAGGTCCTCACTCTGTCACCCAGGCTGGAGTGCAGGGCGCTTTCTTGGCTCACTGCAACCTCTGCGTCCCAGGCTCAAATGAACCTCCTGTCGCAGCCTCCCGAGTAGCTGGAACTACAGGTGCCCGGCTAATTTTTTGTAGAGATGGGGTTTTGCCCTGTTGCCCAGGCTGACCTCAAGTGATCAGGTGCTGGGATTACAGGCGCGAGCCACCAAGCCCGGCACCTCCTCCCCTTAACAAACATTAACTGAGAGCCCATCCTGTGCCAGACTCTGCTCTGGGCACACAGCTGGGAGCACCACAAAGTCCCCGCCCTCCTGGAGCTCGCTCTGGGGTAGACACGCATGAAAGCCGGTGTGAAATGCAGCGCCCTGGATTGAACATCAGAGACGGAGCCCACAGGAGTCGTGCGTTTCCTGCGGGGGCTGTAACAGATTACCATAGACATAAGGGCTTCAAACATGAATGTCTGATCTGATAGCTTTACAGTCAGACGCCTGACAGGGCTTTCTGGCCTAAAATTAGCGTTGGAAGGCTACGTTTCCTTCTGGAGGCTCTAGGGGAGCACGCGCTTCCTCACCTTTTCCGGTTTCTAGAGGCCGGGCATCCTTGGCTGTGGCCCCTTCCTCCTGCACATCGCGTCTCTGGCTCTCCATCTCTCTCTCCTCTCCACCTTCCTCTTCCGCTTTTAAGGACCCTCATGATGACATTGGGCCCACCTGTATAATCCCGGAGCACCTCTTTAAGATCAGCTGTAGCAACCTTAATTCCTCCCCGCCAGGTAACTTAGCACATTCATAGGTTCCGGGGATGACGACTTGGATCTCTCCAGGGCCCTATTCTGCCGACCACAGATGGGAAGGCCAATGGAGATGGACAGAGAAGGGAAGAGGGAGAAAAAGGCTCGGAGAGAGGCAGAGGACCAGGCTGACAGGAGAGAGGAGGTGGCTGAGAAAGGAGACAGTGTCCTGGGCGTGCTTGGGGACTTTTCGGGGGATTCTGTTTGCCAGCTGAGACTTTCCAGGGACGTTATTCCAGGAAAGCCTGGGCAGCTGTGAAAACTCAGATGACGCCAGAGGACTGTTCGGGGTTGAGCCAATAGGCAATTGTTGGAGAGGGAGGGAAGGAGGGCAGCTCTCAGCAAGTCCATGTTGGCGGCGTTTCCTGAGCTCCAAGGCTATTCCGGGCTCCATCCCTGGGATGGAGCTTCCTAGCCTGCGTCAGGACGGCGTTTGCCAGCGTTCCAGGGAGTGTGGGTCTATCCCCTTGGTGGCAGGAGGGAGGCTTTAATCAAATTCTCAAGGGGGCCTGGGACCAATAAAAGTTAACTCCTATCCTGAGTGTTATAAAAAGAAGTGCTTGGAATGTAAAATGCTGCAGTCACTGTGGAAGACAGTTTGGCGGTTCCTCAAAATACTGTTACCATGTGACCCAGCAACTCCATTCCTAGGCGCATGCCCAGGAGAACAGAAGATGTCCGTCCACACAAAAACATTTCCACGGATGTTTGTAGCAGCATTGCTCATAATAGCCAAAAAGTGGAAACAACCCAAATGTCAGTCTCCTGATGAGCAGATAAACAAAATGTAGTCTATCCATGCAATGGAATCTTATTCAGGGATTAAAAAGAATGAAGTGCTGAGACAGGCTACAAGATGGATGAAACTTGAAGACATTACGCTAAGTGAAATAAGCCAGACACGAAAGGACAAATATCATATGATTCCACTGTATATGAGGTACCCAGAGTAGCCATATTCATAGAAACAGAAAGTAGAATGGTGATTGGCAGGGGCTGAGAGAGGGCAGATGGGGAGTGAATGTTAGTAGGTACTAAGTTTCTTTTCGGGGTGATGAAATGTTTTAAAATAGATTGTGGTAATGGTTGTGCAACTCTGAAAATATACAGAAAGCCACTGAATTCCTTAAATGGGTGATGGGTGAAATTTCTGCTATGTAAATTATATCTCAGTAAAGCTGTTCCTAGAAAAAAGAGGAAGTGGGCCAGGCACGGCAGCTCACGCCTATAATCCCAGCACTTTGGGAGGCTGAAGTGGGGAGATCGCTTGAGTCCGGGAGTTCAAGACCAGCCTGGGCAACATAGTGAGACCCTATCTCTACATACCTACGAAAAATTTTTTAAAATAGCCTGGCATGGTAACACACACCTGCAGTCCCAGCTACTCGGGAGGCTGAGGTGGGAGAATCACTTGAGCCCAGGAGGTGGAGATTGCAGTGAGCTGTGATCTTGCCACTGCACTCCAGCTTGGGCAGCAGAGTAAGACCCTGTCTCAAAAAATAAATTTATCTCTTCTAAAAAAAGAGGAAGTGCTTGGCCCTTAGCACCACATTTCACTTCGTCCTTGCAACTGTGAAAGGCAGGCCTTGACCTTCTCCCCTCTTACAGGTGAGCAGATGGCAGAGAGGCGAGGATCACTAGGCTAAGATGGGATGGCTGTTTAGTGACAGGCCTTGGACCAGGTCTCCTGTATGGGTCATTCTTTGTCCTGCGAGCCATGCTGGAGTGTGGATTTGGAGGTGACAGGCAAGTGGCGCAGTCAGTGATGCATCTTCTCAGTAGCTGTTGGAGAGTGGGCAGTTCTGACAGCAGCAGGGGAAGCTGGCCGGGAGATGGGGCGTCTGAGTCAGCTCGGGCTGCCACAACACCAGACACTACATGGCTTAAACAACAGGACTTTATTTCTCACAGTACTGGAGGCTGGAAAGTCCAAGCTTGAAGGTGCTGGCCAATCCCGTTCCCGGCGATTGGGCCCCTCCCTGGCTTGCAGAGGCCTGAGTTCCCGTGGAGTCACCACGCGCCTTTCCTTGGTATGTGCACGTGGAGAGATCTCTCCTTCTCTTATAAGGTCACTAATCCAGCCGGGCGTGGTGGCTCATGCCTGTAATCCCAGCACTTTGGGAGGCCAAGGTGGGCGGATCACCTGAAGTCAGGAGTTTAAGAACAGCCTGGCCAACATGGAGAAATCCCGCCTCTAATAAAAATACAAAACATTAGCCGGGCATGGTGGCGGGCACCTGTAATCCCAGCTACTCGGGGGACTGAGACAGGAGAATCACTTGCACCCAGAGGCGGAGGTTGCAGTGAGCTGAGATCACGCCACTGCACTCCATCCCGGGCAACAGTGTGAGACTCTGTCTCAAAAAAAAAAAAAAAAAAGAAAAGAAAAAGAAAAAAAGAAAGGTAAATTTGCCTATGCAAGGACACGCAGCTAGTGATTTGTTCCACATCTGACCCCAGGGCCTATGCGCCTTTCCCTACCCAGGCCACCGCCATGACTCAGGAGGCCCCTCTGGGGAAGCAGCGGGAACCCTCATAGGAGGCTCCGGGACAGAGAGATGCAGGGCTGGGACGAGGAGGCCCCGAGGGGAGGCTGCTCGCTCTCCTGTCCCATGGAGGTCTCTGCTAGGGGTAGCCCCGTCCTGGGACACAGACACCAAGGACTGCTGTCTGAGAGGAGGAGGCTGAGTTGGGAGGGACAATGGCCTGAGTTGATTCTGAAGCCTGTGAGCAAGGTGGGACAAGCCGGAGAGGCAGCTGAGCAAGCGGGGGCGAAGACTGAGGGTGAGAGTTTGTGCTGAAGAGGCAAGGGGCAGCCTCAAGTGGGCAGGGCAAGGCCAGATGCAGAGGCTGACAGGAGTGGGCAAGGGGACCGGGATTCAGGGGGAGACTGAGTCAGGGGCCAGACAGGCTGGAGCTCCTAGGGTTGGAAGCTGGGTGATGGGGCCTCATTCTCTGCCACACGAGACTCCCCCAGCCCAGCCTTCCCCCTTATTGTCTCTCACAGATACTCCCATACATCCCTGGTACCCCTGTCATCTTTCCTAAGCTATGCTCTTTTTCAGGAGGGTGGCGTTTAGGGGAGGGTATCCTCCAGAAATAGCAAGTCTCAAAGTCAGCTCTTGCCTGAGTCCCAGTCTCCTTTGGTGGAAGGGTAGTCCCTCTTTTTGCATGTTTTAAGTGGTCAGCCTGGCAAGGGGCGGGAGGCCTGGGTTTCTTTCTTCTCTTTAGGATGGGGCTGGTCCTCCACCTCCCACTGGCTGGCAGCCTCCCGGCCCCTGGTGGCCCCAATCCATTGTCCCAATAAGAATAGAGAAAACAGCTTTGGAAATTGACACTATGAATGGTGCTGGGGCTGCTGGGCTGGGACTGAACTAATGGGATGAGGTCCCCCACTTCAGGCCCAGGCTCAGCACCTGGGACGGTGACTCTACTAGGAGAGTGGGGGCTCTGCACCCCTCCCCAGGACCCCCAAATTAGACTTCAAGCCACCCCTGTCCAGGACATGGATCCCCAGGGATGGGCTTGGGGGACCAGATGCCCCAACTCCTCCTAGAACTTCACTCTCATTCAGTCAAAGTTTGAGAGGGAGTAAGGGGTGGGTAATGGGCTGGGAGAGATTTCTGGAAGCTGAGAAAGGGGCGGGTCTGACCCCCCAACTTTGCCCCGCTCTCATTGGCCCTCGCCCCCTTTCCCCGCCCCAATTGTCTCGGTGTCTGGGTCCTGGCCCTGGGAGGAGGGGACAGTGGGGATAGGAGTGGGGAGGGGGCTCAGGCTGAAAGCAGAGAGAGACCCAGCTCCAGGAACACGAAGGCAAGGACAGTAGCCTTCAGTCTCGACCCCAGAGCTTGGCACCCCAGAACCTGGGCTCCCCAAAGCAAGACCAGGGCCCCCACATTGTGCGCCAAAGTGCGGGGTGGAGAATGCCCACAGCCCAAGGGCCCCCAGGCTGAAGGCAGGAGACTGGGGCTGCTGGAGAAGTTGCCCAGGCTGAGGGGCCGTGCCTGGCAGGGACATGGGGCTGCTGCTGCTGCTGCTCCCAGGCTGGGGTAAGAGGCTGAGCCATGGGGGCCATAGGGAAAGCCAGGGCAGAGGGACGGGGAAGAAAAAGAGGCAGGCATAGGGGTGGGAGAGTTGCGGGGCAAGGTTGGGGAAGCAGAGGGATGGAGGTGGCCGGAGTGGAGATGGAGAAACCCTGAGGACAGCAGAGGAGAGGGGTGAGCAGGAGGGGCAGGCAGGGCTGCGGGAGAGCTGTGGGGGGTGCTCTAGGAGCCCAGGCTTTGGGGCACAGTGGCTAGAAGGGGACCTGGGGGCCACGTGAGGCAAGTGGCTGAGCAGACTGCGGGGCATGCAGAGGCAGGGCCCCAGAGGCTTACCCACAGATGTCCCTGAGCCAACCAAGGCTGGCTGAGCCCCCTGCCCATGTGCCCCTCGGAGGCTCTGTCTGCCCGCCTATCCACCCCATCTGCTGGGGGTCCTGGCTCAGCCTTACAGGCTGAGTTATTGTATTTATGGGGGTGTGTGGGAAGGGAGGCTGTGGGTTCACAGCTCTGCTCATGCATTTCTGGGCCTGTGCTGTTAGTGTCTGTGGCCCTGTGCTTATGTATTTGTGACTTTGAGTCTGTAGGGACATCTATGTGTGACCTGTGTTTGGGGCCTCCTTGAGTGTGCATCTGGGATGGAATCTGTCTGTGTCTAGAAGACCTGGTGGCCAGTGAGGTTGTGATTTTTAATCCAAGTGTGTGTGTGTCCGTGAATGAGTGTGTGTGAGTGTAAGTGTGTTCCTTCCCTATTCAGAGGCCAGGGTCCTGGTGGCGGGAGGGGGAAGGGGGAGAGCCAGGAGTCCTGGGAAGCTGACCCTGCAGGCAGACAGGCAGATGGGCCGGTGGGGGAGGGAGGGGGCGATCCCATTGTCCCCTGGGGAGCACAATGCTCACGCCTCAGCCCCTGACCTCACCATTGTGCCCACCCCGCCCCCTCCCCGTTGCCAGGGCCCAGCTGAAAGAGGCCATCAATCACAGCCGGCCCGCCAGGCCCACACCGCACCCGCCAGCCGGACAGTGGCCCGCCCTGCTCCTCAGATGGCCAGGCCCTGCCCTCTCTTCCCTGTTCCTCCTTTGCTGACCCAAAGTCTCCCTAAAGTCAAGTCCTGTCCCTTGCCCCTCGCCAAGGCTGGGAGGGAATCAAAGCCATGGGGGAGGTGGTGGACAAAGGGTGGGCCTCAGGGGGCCGCCGTGTTCAGGCTGTGCTGGCTGTCCCTACAGGCTGTGCTGCAGGCTCCGAGCTGGCCTTCGTGCAGGAGCTGGGGGACACAGTGGCTGTGTGGGAGCACCCACTGGTGCTGCCCTGCCAGGTGGAGGGTGAGCCGCCTGTGTCCATTTCCTGGCAGCGGGATAGGCTGGCCTTAGCCAATGAGAGTGGTGTCACCCTGATGCCAGATGGCTCCCTGCACCTGGCCGCCCTGCCTTCCCGCCGGAGCCTCCCTTCCCGTGCCCACGAGTACCACTGCGTGGCCCAGAACCGCTACGGGCGGCTGGTGAGCCGACAGGCCCGGGTACAGCTGGCAAGTAAGTGACAGGGCTGCTCCTGGGATTGGGGGATGAGAGTTGGTGGGGCACCCACAGAAGGCACCCATGGGGCCCAGACTCGCTGAGAGTGGGCCTGAGCAGGGCCAGCCCAGCCATTAGACACAGTGTACACACTGGTAGAGCCTCTGATTCTTTTAGGGGCCCACAAAAATGTTTTAACTTCTTCAAAACCAGAAGAAAAAAATGAATACAATAATAAATATGTAAAAATGAGTCCAGACTGGATTATACTTGTCTATATTCCAATGCCATTGTAAACTATGATTTAAAATTTTTGTAATGGAGGAAGGCAAAGTGCTTATAGCCCACAGAAGTCCTAGACATGAGGCTGCAGGGCTCTATACTGAAGAGGATGTGGCAGATGTGGGCACAGAGGTGGGGCCCAGCCCTGGGACTTGGTTGTGGGGGGATAGCCCAGGGCCAGCTCTGCAGGTGCCCAAGTGGCCCCCCCATCCTCTAGGTCTGTCCCGCTTCCACCAACATCCAGAATCCATTGAGGTGGAGCGGGGTGGAGTTGCTCGCTTCCAGTGCCTGATCCAGGGGGTGCCTGAGCCATCCATTTCCTGGGAGCACAATGGCACAGCCCTGAATACTGCCAACCACCGGTGAGCACCTGCCAGGAGTGCAATGGGACGGTGGGCTGTGGGCCAGGGCACAGGCCATGGAGCCCTGACCTCTGCATCCTCAGGGTCACACTGCTGCCTAGTGGCATCCTCCACATCACCAGTGTGAGCCAGACTGACATGGGAACCTACCGCTGCGTGGCATGGAATGTGGCCAGTACCCGCCACAGCCAGGATGCCCAGCTGACCCTGAGTGGTAAGCCAGGCCCAGTGTGGGCACTGGGCAGAGGGGAGGGTATGGTTGCTGTGGTTGTACATGGGACAGGCAGGCATTTTGAGCACCTATGACTGTGCCAGGTGTGGGAGGGCAGCAGGCTTGAGCCATCCCTGGCTTCCTGGAGCTCACAACCTGAGAGAGAAGGTGGTGCTGCGGGAACCCAGGGTTGGGCTGTGGGCAAGGATTGTCAGGGGCTTCTGGAGTAAGCTACCCCAAGCCGGGTGTTGAAGGGTGAGTGGAGAGAGGCAAGCCAAGGTCAGGAGGTAAGGGCGGGGGCATTTCCTTGGACAAATGCACAAGGGTGAGGACAACAAAGTTCACACAGGCAGTTCTGTGTTGCTGGACCACAGAATGGGCAGAATTCAGGGTAGCAAAGTTAATGTTGGCGAGTAGGCAAGGCACATACCATGAAAGGAGTTTGGACTTGATCCAGAGGGTAGTGGGAGCTCTGGAGGGTCTAGCGTTGGGGCTGAGTCAGCCTGTGTTTTGAACACGTGGCCCCCATACACATGGCGTGTAGATGTGCATGTGTTCGTGTATGTGTCTGTGCTTGCATGTACATGTGCATGTGTGCATGGACACTTGCACGTCTCCTTCTTGGGGTGAGGATGAAAATAGCTTTGTACCTGAGATGAAACACCCAGGATGACCCCACTTGCAGGCCAAATGGGGTGGGAGAGTTTTGTGCCCAAAGTGAAGGCCACAGCAGAGCCTATGAGGAGCTGGTGCCTAGCAGGAGAGGCAGGTTAGACCCTGCCTAAACCAGAGATGCCGCAGGTGTTTGTGAGGGAAAGTCATGCCTGAATCAGCCACTAGGGGGCTCCAGGGTATAAATAAGCAAGTGTACCACGGGACACCACTGCTGCACCTGGGCGAACTTTCAAAACATCTCTGACAAAATCTCACCGAAGGCTATATCTATTTTTTTGTTTTTAGACGGGGTCTCGCTCTGTCGCCAGGCTGGAGTGCGGTGGCGCCATCTCGGCTCACTGCAACCTCCGCCTCCCGGGTTCAAGCGATTCTCTTGCCTCAGCCTCCCGCGTAGCTGGGACTACAGGCGCCCGCCACCGCACCCGGCTAATTTTTGTATTTTTAGTAGAGATGGGGTTTCACCATGTTGGCTAGGATGGTCTCCATCTTTCGACCTCGTGATCTGCCCGCCTCAGCCTCCCAAAGTGCTGAGATTACAGGCGTGAGCCACTGCGCCCGGCCGGTATATAATTTTTAAACTTAAGACTGGCAGGGGAAGGGGGAACGGTTGTGTTTCTGATCTGTAACTGACTTAGAAACTCAAAGCGAGGGTGGGGGTCAGCGGCTCCTCTGCAGGAGCAGAGGAGCCCAATGAGGTCCCTCTGGCCTGTGGTGTTCCGTTCCTATCCACAGTCTGGGGCAGGAGGGCAGGGCAGGAGGCTATGTCTCTCAAGGCTATCGAGCAGACATAGGATTCTGCTGCCCGCGGAGCAGGGAGACGAATGGCCAGAGAGCGACAGGAGGTTAGCAGGAGGAGCAGGCGCCTGTTGGGGGCAGAGGACCAATCAGAAACCGAAGGCTCAAGGGTTGCCTAAAGGAGCTGGTGTCAAGAGTAGTCTTCCCCAGGGGCAGGAGCTGGGGACCAAGGCCCCAAGCCATTCACCCCTAATGCACTCAACTGCACACACCTGGACAGGCACTTACCCTGGGCGTGCACCAGGGTGAGACAGAATTTCCCAGACTTCAAGGAGCTCACAGCGGCTAAAGAGGGGATCCTCTTTGTCAGCTGTTCAGTGCTACCAAGATCCAGGAAGTCCCCCAGTTCTGCCAGTGCCTCTGTCATTGGGCAAGTTACTTAACCTCTCTGATCCTTGATCTTCTCATGTAAATGGGGGAAATAACAGTACTCCGCACACAGGCTGTGGTGAGGGCAAAATGGGACAATCTGTGGGGCTCGCAGCCAATGTCTGGCATGGGGAAGGGGTCGGCCCGGGTGGCCCAGCCTCCCCTCACTGAACTGTCTGGCCAGGCAGGACACAGCCTCTTTGAATGAGGCCAGGAGATTCCAGGGCAGCCCACAGCCTGTACTGCAGCTTGCAAGAGGCAAATGGAGAAGGGCTGGGCCCAAAGTAGGCCTTCAATCTATAGTTGCTGAATAAGTGAATGAACAAAACACAATCCTACACCTTGAGGGATAAAGATGTGTAAGACTTTAGACCAGCCCTTGAGAAACTTTCATTTTAGAAACATTTTATCTGAGACATTCTTAATAAAGGGCATTTATGAAAGGAAAGACACGTTAAGTTCTCACATGATACAAGGTGGTAAAGAAAATGAGGATGATGGCCTATGGGAAGGCAGAGCTCTGTTTCACACGATGTTGTTCACAACTGTGCTCCCAGTGTGAGGGTGCTGCCTGGCACATGGGAGCCCCCAGTGATGACCTGTTGAATAAACTAATGAAACGGGGGAGCATGGCATAAAATGAAGATGTGATTTAGACCCAAAACAAGAGTTACTTTGGGAAAACACATCCTTCCTAAGCAGCTAAGCAGGCTGAGGTCTTAGGAGGCTGGTCATGCTTTCTGAGGGAGCGCCTCCTACTAACTTTGTGGGTGCCTCTACCTGCCCCTCAGGGTGAGGCGCCCAGGGAAGGTGGGGCCACCCACAGGGTTTGTAGGAGGAGAATGCTCTCTCCTCTCTCTCCGCACCCCCAGTCTACCAGACCTTCAGCCTGATAGCTACTTCCATGGGACTTTGGGCAGGTCATTTTTAAAATCTGTAAATTGGGGATGGAATAGCAGCTGCAAAGCACACCTCTGAGGTCTGGTGACATTTGTGGGCTGGAAGAGTGTGCTTGGAGTAGAAGTTGAGTATTGGAAGGAGGTTCTCCTTTCCTGATCCAATTTGCTTGTTTCCACCACACAGTGGGACCCCTGAGGCTGCTGCAGGAGCCAGAGATCCTGTCTGGGCCTCAGAACCTGACCCTCACAGTGCACCAGACGGCAGTGCTGGAGTGCATTGCCACCAGTCACCCTTGGCCGCTTGTCTCCTGGAGCCGCCTGGGTGCGCAGCCGCCCCCCACCCCCTTGCTGTCTCTCAGAGCCCTGTTCCCTCGTCCTATCCCAGCCTGACCCCCCAACGCCTTCTTGCAGATGGCCGCTCCATCGGCGTAGAGGGCATCCAAGTTCTGGACATTCTGGACACAGGGAATCTCATGATCTCCGACGTCTCAGTCCAGCACTCAGGTGTCTATGTCTGCGCCGCCAATCGGCCAGGCACCCATGTCCGGCGCACAGCGCAGGGCGTCCTGCTCGTGCAGGGTGAGCCCCAAGGGCCCAACTGGGTGGGGAGAGTGCTGGAGCACCCCAGCTCCCTGACAGGAGCCTGGATCTGGAGAGGGTCCAGGGCAGGAGGCAAGAGGCTGGGTCTCACGGCACCTTCCTCCATGCTATTGCCTGCCCAGCTCCCCGAGTTTGTCCAGTGGCCACAGTCCTTGTCCAAGCCTCCGGGCAGCAGTGCCATCTTCACCTGCGTGGCCCAGGGCGTCCCTGAGTCCCGTCTGGTCTGGCTGAAGAATGGGAAGGTGTTGAGTCCTGGGAATAACATCAGGCTGACTCACAACAATAGGTACTCGTGTCTCACCACTCCCCACTGCCCACTGGCAATGGTAGGTCCCCCTACCCACCCTGGGCGTCCACCCCCACCTACATGCAACACTCACTACCTAAATCTCAAAAATCCACACCCATCCACAAACCCCCAGCAAGTTACCTTCTACTTCCAGCAATTCCCCCCTCCCCCAGGAGGCTCTGCCCTGACTGCTCCATTACAGGTAATGTCCCCACACAGCCTCCTCCTCTAGGGCCACTCCACTAAGTCTTGGTGGGAAAGGGCTCCCAGTAGCTGAGTTTGTCTTTCTCTAGTACGCTGATGCTGGCAGGGGTTTCAGTTGAGGATGAGGCCATCTATCAATGCGTGGCAGAGAACAGCACGGGCTCCAACCAGGCCAGTGCCCGCCTGGTTGTGACAGGGGGCCCAGAGCCACCCCGTCCCCAGGGGCCTGCATGCCATGGCTCTCTCTACTTCTGCCATTCGAGTGTCCTGGGAGCCACCCCCCCCTCCAGCAGGGACATCATTGGCTACGTGCTGCACCTCCGGCCTGTGGGAGGTGGGTGTGGGTGGGTGGAGAGGGCTTTGACCTCAGAGCAGGGCCAGGGGCCAGGAGTCCCTGGCACCAGCCCATCTCTGCTCCTGACTGCTGATGTCCTGGGTGAGTCCCTCTCACTCTCTGAGCCCCAGTCTCCTCCATGACCCCAGACCCTTCTGGATTCTTCCCAGGCCTCTGGGCCTGTGGTTCTCTGGGCTGGCTGCCTCTGTACATGGTCTTTTGGTGCTTCCTTACTGCTTTTCAGCTTGACTCTAGGCCCTTTCCTCATCCTCATCCTCATCCTTTCTCAGCTTAGCTCCAACTTCTGTAGCTCCCTTCCCTGCTCTCCTTGGAGGCTTGGCTGGCCCAGCCAGGCACCAAGAGGGGCTTCGTCCCCAGTTTGTGAAGGTGTGGGGACGTGGCTAGTGAGAAGATGCTGCTTTGCTCCTCAGAGCCATCTGGCCCGGAGCTCCAAGAGGCCATAAGCAAAGGCACTTCTGAGCACGTCTTCTCCAACCTGGAGCCTGCCACAGCCTACACCATCCATTTGCGGGCCTACTCAGCAGAGGGTGCCAGTCAGGACTCTGCTCCCATCTTTGCCTCCACCATGGGCAGCAGTGAGTGACAGCCTCTCCAGCCCTGGGAAGTCCCTGGCCTCAGGTGGGCAGGGACTGCCAACTAGTTTGCTTGTTTTCCTCTGCAGCCCCTGCTGCCCTGGGCTTCTCCACCAAAGTGCTGAATGCCACCTCTGTGCAGGCCTCCTGGGAGCTGCCACCCCAGCTGGGGCCCATCCAAGGCTTCAAACTTTCACCGCAAGCTGCCTGCTGCCCATTTTCAGGGGCCTCTGCTCCTGGCCAGCAGTGTCAGCTCCTTCCTCTACACAGACCTGGGTGAGGCTCTGAACCTTCCTGTGCCACTCAAGGCCTGCCTTTCTCAGTGTGATCTTGCCCCAGGTACTGAGCTTCCTGGCCCAGAAATGCCCGTCCCCTTCACATTCCCCTGCTCCCGGCAGAACCGGCTGCTCTCTATGACATCAAGCTGCAGGCGTTCAATGGCAATGGGGATGGAAATAGCAGTGCCCGCTGTGTCTCATTGTGTGATGTGCCCCTGGCCACTCCTGGTAAGTGGGGTCTGGTAGGAGGGTAGTAGGGCTGGGGTCAGAGCAGGCCCCTCTGATAGGACCCATGGCTGCCAGTCTTCAGGAAGAGGGCTGGGCTTCACCTCCAACCCTGGTCCTCTCTCTGACAGATGGCACAGTGTCCACAGAGTCCAAGACTGGGTGCTCTTGCAGCCAGGGTGAGAGCAGCCCACTGCCTGGGGTTGTGGTGGGCATCCACGTGGGCCTGGCTGCCCTCATCATTTGCCTCCTCTGCCTCTTCCTGGGCTGGAGACATAGCTAAGGGCCAGGTAAGGGCTAATGTGGGAAATCTGCCAGGGAGACAGTCTGCATCACTGTGGCACAGGGCCAAAGAGAGCAAAAAAGCCCCAATCTACAACCAATCAATTTTACCAATGAGGAGACTCAGGCAGAGAGAGGAAGCCAATTCTTTTCAGAGCTGTGTGGTACCAGGGGCAGGAGAAGGCCTGCCATGAGCCGGGAAGAGAGAACTGGGGCTCCCAAAGCAAAGAACAAGGGCAGCAGAAATGAGCTAGAGCCAGTTCCCTGCCATCCAGCAGCATGAAGAGGGGTCCACCCTCTCCATCTCTGGGGAGCATGGAGCAGGAGGAGGGGTTGGGAGCCATGCGAGGCAGAGGGAGGCACCAGACAGACCACACTGCTGACCCTTCCTACCCGGGCAGCCTCCTCTGCAAACAGGAGTCCCAGGAATGCTGGGCAGTGCCTCGGACTGCCTCGGACAGAACTGGGGGCCATCAAGGCCAGACTCAGAGTGGAGGGAAGCTGGGGGAGAAGACTGAACTCACCACCCAGGTGAGGCGGATTCAGTGATGGGGAATGAGTGGGGGAAACTGGAGTGTTTGAGGCCTTGGTCCAGAGGCCTGACCTCCTTCACCCTCAGGTGACTGTGGAACAGCTGGCCTTGGCCTAGGGCCCTCCAAGTTGGCTCCCTCCGAGATGCCACTAACTCCAGATACACCAAAGAATCTACCTCACCTGTCCCTGTCACCCCAGAGTCAGGAAAGAACCAAAAGTCCCTCAGCTCCTCTCCGGGGAGGGGCAGGACTGGCCATAGTGGGAGAGAAGAGGGTGTGGTTTCTCTGTTCCTCCCAGACCTCAAGAAATGGGAGAATCTGCATCCCTTCCCCCAACACACCAAATAACCTCAAACTAAACCAAGCCCAGCTGGGAGTTACCCCCAACCCAGTTACTCCTGCCTCATAACCCCATCCAGTATATTCACCTCTTCTTGATCCAAATATGAACCTGCCCAAAGACACCTAGCTTTAAGGGTTCCCCACAAAATGGCGGCAGGGGAAGAGGCTCTGTCATCACCTCCATCTCACAACCTGAAGCCCTCCAGTCTAAAATCTGTCTCTGTCTCCTCGTGCCCAAGCTGAGCTCTGCCCAGGGACAGGCGACCTGCATTCCTTGTGGTCCGAGTGAGCAGGTGGGCAAAGGGGGTGCAGAGTTTCTTGCCCCCCTTCTCCCTACAACATGACTCTTAAATATCTGAGCTCATATGAGCTTCTCTGAGCAACCAAATACCCATTTCCCCCTTCCCAGATCCAAAGCACTGGCTCCTCCGCAGGGGGTCCTCCTTACCCATTTGATTTTTATTTTTGAAAGAGATTAGTTTGAGTCAGGGTTTTGGCAGTCTTGAATCGCCTGTAGAATGAGCACAGAGGCTGGGGAGCACTCCCCATCTCCCCTCCCTCAACTCTTGGGGTCTGAAGAGCACCTCTTTCCCACTTCTCCCTCTACCAGCCTATTGGCATCCAGAGCACCACAGTCCCTCCTTATCCAGCTCTGCCATGCTCTAAAGCCAAAGCCCCAGCCACTTCCTCAATCACTCTCTCTCCAAGGCTGCCCAGTATTGTGCCAAAAAGGGAAGGGTCTTGGGGGAAGGAAAGCCCATGGCTTAGAGGACCCCAAAACTGTCTCCTGTGCTCTTATAGAGTAATGCTAGTACCAATGACAAGACTCCAGAAAGGCTGGGCTCTGGCCCTCCACAATAGTGCCCTCTGCACAAGGCACAGCAGCAGCTGTAACTAAAAAACGTGGCTGAGGAGCAAGAGGGCTAAGAATAGCCCCAAACATCAAGTCCTTGAGGAAATGACATCCTCTTCTCTGGTTGGGCCTGGTCTAACTGCTTTGTTGGAAATAAATAACCAAAACGGAAAAAATAAATTAGGATCTGGTTAATGCTTTGGGCTGAAAGGAAAACTTGGGGGAGGGGAGTGATGAGATGGTGAGAAAGTGTAGTTCCAGATCTTTCAGGGGATGCTGCATTCAGATTGTTAAAGAACTATATTCGGTAGTTTACTAGAAAACAGCAATGTGAACCCCTGCTGGTAAATAAGGCAACCGTCTAGAGGAACAAGCATGTTACAAAAGATTATTTATTTTCTTTTATAGAGATGGGGTCTCACTACATTGCCCAGGCTGATCTCCTGGCTCAAGTGATCCTCCCACCTTAGCCTCCTGAGTAGCTATAGGCATGCAGCACTGTGCCTGGCTAAAGGATTCTGTCACTAGAGACCAGAGCAGTGTGGTGGGAAGGGCCAAGCACTGCTAGGGGACACCTTTCCCTAGGAGAGAATGGAGACCCAGCCCCCTCCCCATGATACCATTAGACCTAAAGTCATCAGATAACTAAAGTGGGGTTGGTGGCTTCCAGAATACTGGCTCCAGCTAGAGCTGGAGGGGAACAAGAACACAGAAGTAGGTCAGGGCTTTAAACAATCATCACAATCAAAGAGAAGGATACAAACCAAAGGTACTCAGTCCGTGGCTGGACTGACTAGGGAAGACAGCCATAGCTCATCTCCCAATTACCCTGAAAATTCTCCCGCCAAACTGCCACCCCCAGCCCCATAACTAAAGCACAAGCCACAGGAAAGTTTTAGAAACCATTCCTTTCTTTATTAAACATAGCTTGCAAGTGATAAATATTACAAAGTTTTTTTTTCTTTTAATCCTTTCTCCAAAAATTAGCTTATTATTTGAATCTGTCACTGCTGAAATGCTCAGCAGCATCTGAAACAGATGGGAGTGTATTTGCCTTTTTGAAAACCAGTTTCTATTGGTCTTAGTTTTTTCATTTTATTTCCCAAACACAATGCAGAAAATCAGAATGAGTTAAAAAAGAAATAAAGGAAACTTAAAGAGAGTTGTGCAAAAGGGTCTTGTTCCCCTCCCACCCACCCTATTCAGGGAAGGCCATTCCCCATCCCACCTCCCTGCTCCCCACCCCCCAACCCCAATCTATCCTTTCACCTTCACCAGGGCTTCACCCATCACCCTGTACCCTCTCCAGGCTTTATCAGCCCAGAACCTAAAGAAGAGAGTAGGAGTACTCAGCCCAGGCTGTGGGGAAATTGGGCCCCTGAAGGAGACAGACTGTGAAACAGCTGCCTTTAGCGGGGTTCAGATGAAATCTGAGGAAAGGAGACAAAATGTGGGCTGTGTCTGCGCTCTCCTATTTTATCACCAAGATGGGGGAAAAGTTACACATCCTGTAGCTCACAAAGGGAGTAAATAACTAAAGCACCAACCTGGGGCATTCAATTGTCAACCACCCTTAAGGGCTCTGTGGTTGGCTGTGAGATGGGGCTTGAGGCCTAGTCCCCGCCCTCAGATGACTAGAGGCATAAAGGCAAAGATGTCACTGGTCTGATGCCCTGGACATGACTCTGCTGCCTCTCCCAAATCAAGGGTAACCATAGAGGACTGGCAGTTCTCCAAGAGCATTGTCATACACATAACCACTTCAACGCGAGTCACTTTCAGTTCCTCCCTGGTTTCTGGGCCCAACACTTTCCTCACCTCAAGTTGTTTTTTGGTTTTGGCAGGTGAGAAGTATAGAATTTTAAACTTGGTGGCCAGATGATCCCCCTCTTCACTTCACAGATAAGAAAATTGATACTCAGAAAATTAACTCTACCAAAGATCATATAGCAAGTTAGTAGGAGACCCCAGGTCTCCAGATTGTAGCCCCCTCAACCCCTTTTGTGTTGGTGGTTCTTTTTACTCTACAAAGTCCTGGACCAGGAGGTCTTGGCTTTCACAGGAGCTCAGCCTCACCTCGGTTCACGCAGCCTAAGGCTGTGCAGATGGATGTGGCTCTCACTAGGTGAAATTTCCTCAGGATGACTTATTAAAATCCTTTCTATCATCCCCTGACAATCCACCCTCAAAGGCCCATAAGACTAGGTTCTTTCTTTTTTGAGGAGGTGGGGTGGGGGAAATCCCTTGCATAAGAAAGCTTGACACTGAATTTTGTTATATAGGTATATTGTATATATGCTGATGCAATCAGAGGAAAAAAACAGTGCAAATACAATTACAATTCATAATAATACTTGGTTTCGATGCCCCCGGGAACTGCCCCATTCCTCGGCTACCTCCCAGCCCCCAGCACTTCCCCACAGTATCAACCTAATGCTGGGGGATAGGGAGGGTGGGCAGGTTAGGGTAGGGAGTGGGCTCTGCCAAGGCAGTGCTGGTGACCCGGAGGGACTACTCCAGGGTGGGGAGGCAAGGCACAAATTAGGGGTGGGTGGTGGGGGAGGTGGCATCTCTAAGGAGGGATGGGGTTGGAGCAGCTGCCAGTCTCAGTGTGCTGGGCCCGGCCCACTCCCCTACCCACCCTCCACAGCCCTGCCTCCCTACCCCCTCCCCTTCCCCAGAAACCCTTTTGCACGGATCATACACAAACGGGCACATTACAAAATGACATAACACAGTTTCACAATATCCATGGCTAGGGCTTTTTTTTCTCTTTTTCAGGTTTTTTTTTTTTTCTACACAATGTACAATTCCTTTTAAATGGATCAAGAAATAGCTTATATACATGAACGAGTCCTTGTTATAACATCTCGGCAGCAAATATCATAAGCTAATGAAGGTCTTGATGGAAAGGATGGGAGCCTAGGACGGGGGTGGGGGTAGGGGGTGTGGAGAGAAGGGTTATGCCTTCTGGAGGAGTGGGGAGAAAAGGGAATGATTAGGGAAAAGGAACAAAAGTAAAATATCAAGAAGCATCTTTACAAAGCAGTTCTATAGCTAATTCCTTTTAAAGGGGAAAGGAAAGGTAACCAAAGCAGGAAAACATTTATCTCTGTGTCTTAAAAAAAAATTGTCTACCATACATATATCCAAAAATGTGGGAAAAATACTTATTCCAGGGAGAGAGGGAGTTCAGATGCTGTGGTCAAATTATAAAATAAAATCGACAAATAAGAACCTCTGTCCCCTAGTTTTACTCAAGCCTTACCGCTATTCCACCCATTTCAGGCTTCCAGGGAGTAAGACACCAACCTTAAAATACTGCTTTTAGTGCCTCTGGGGATGGAGGAAGCCAGGCAGAACTGGTGGGATCCTCACTCTACTAATAATGCTCCAAACAGAGGGTCTTTCCTCCTGTCCTTAGGGCATGAGGTTTAGTGTCTACACGGCCCAGAGCCTGGAGATGGATAGTAACAAGTAGACTTGGAGGGACACAAGGCAATCAGTGATGAAAAAAAAGAGACGGAGAATTGAGGAAGACAGAAGGATGAGGAAGGAGGAGGGAAGGGAGGAGGTGGAAGGTTAACACTTTACCATGATTAGGGAGACCTCACCTCCATCACTAATCCCTGGGAAGAGTATGAAAATGGGGAGAAGAAAGGGTAAGAAATCAAACCTCAGCGGTTGAACAAAGGGTCACCGAGCTATACTAGTCAAGAAGCAGCTTCTATGTAACTGACCCTGAGGGGATAAAAACAGGGAAGATTCCACCATCTCCCCTGTGACCTCAGCACCTAAGCAGGCACTCGACTATAGGCTTTCCTTCTCCATGATTCCCCAACTCTATACATCTTACTTCCAAACCCCATTCTAAGGTGGCCTGGCTCCCAGGGAAAGGACTCAGCTCAGGGCAGGGCAGGGACAGCCCCCAGCCAGACGGTATTGCACATTCTCTGTTCCTTACTTTTAATCTCAACTGACAAACTTGGGCATCTCGTACCTCTGAGCACCTCTGAGCTTGGGGAGAGGGAGACGTAACAGAAATGGCACTTCATCATGAGGGAGGGAGGAAGAGGCTAGACAGACATGCCACAAGGCAAGATGACTTGTGGGGAAAACATTTTTAAAAAAAGCTTCCAATTTTGTGGAAGAGAGAAAAGCAAAACCAAACAATTTATCCAGTGCTTTCAAAGCACAGAGGGCAAAGAAAAGATGTAAGAATATATCTTTATATATATATATATAATTTTAAAATAATCCCAGACCCAGTTCCATTAACCCCCCTCCCTCTCCCACCACTTACAGTCAGGGGTACCACATTCCCCGGAAAAATACTCAAAAAACCCAATCACTACCTGTTACTAGCATCTAGCTTCCAGATCATTTCACCACTGGGGGAGCCCAGACACTGGCTGCATCTCTGCTCCTTTAAGTGCTCAATGAATTTGGGGTAAGGGAGGAAAGAAAAAAGCCAGGAAGGCCCGTAGGGCCAGTATAGTCACCCACAGTGGCACTGGGGTGTGGGGAGTAGAGGCCAGAGTAGGGGAACTGAGCCTGATTTTAGCTCTTTCTCCCACCCCACCTCCAAATTTTATGGGGAAGGTGTGCAGTTCATGTGTGTGTTAATTTTAAAAGTGCCTTCTTTAAAAAATTACTTAATTTTAAAAAATAAAAGTGGGGAAACTTCCTCAGGTGACTTTCAAGGGCAAAATATTAAACTTCTCCTCATTCTTCTCTGCTGAGAACATTCCCCCCAGTGCACTCTGGCAGCTTCTGGAGCCAGAGAGGCAGGTGGGTGTACACTATGAGAAGAGCAGAAACCCGTACCTTTAAGGGGCTTCCCTTACTTCAAAAACAGCCTGGTCCACTCCGTCTTCCCACAGTGTGGGCAAATGGGATGCTAATCTCCCCAGTCCCCAGAACAGCAACATTGCACAATTCAATTCATTCTCTACAT
Organism: Homo sapiens; assembly: GCF_000001405.40. Taxonomy (NCBI): domain Eukaryota; kingdom Metazoa; phylum Chordata; class Mammalia; order Primates; family Hominidae; genus Homo; species Homo sapiens. The sequence goes on from NW_003315905.1 coordinate 125,490, forward strand.
TAGTAGCGCTTAAAAAAAAAAAAAAAAAAAAGGCAAAATTAATATCATTCTGGGGGCGGGCGGGGGGCAGTGGGAAGCAACTATTTGTACAGCAGAGGTCCTAAGCTGGTTTTGCCATGAGCTGTTTGGCTTTGAGCAGTTGGTTCTGCAGCTGGTGCAGCAGAGTAAGGACAGGACTCCAACCTGATTGTGTACCCCCAGCCTCTCATCTCCTGGCACTCAGAGGGTGAAAGAATAGGCAAATATGCGAATCTCAACTGTTGGAAGAGAAATCCTTTCTTTCGTCTAAGTCTATTTCCTCCTGTTGTCACTTGACTCATTTATGTCCACCCAACTTGTGGGACACCCAGCAAACAGCCTTGGAACAGCCGTTCCTCTGTATTATAGATGGGGCTATGGTTAGAGGGGATAGATTAGAATTTTTAAAAGCAGGGTGGGGTGAGGGAGAATTTTACAAAGAATACAAGATGAAATAATTTTGGGCTGGTTGGCCTGGAATAGACTTCCGTGTTCCCAATGGGGTCAGGAGATCGGTCTTATTTCCCCAAGATACAGAAAGGCAGGACCTAGTTTCAATCCTCCCTGGCTCATAATTGAGCCCATCTTCATACCTCTTTCTTCCCGTCTTCTATGGGTAAATTCCAGAGTGGTTGAGTTTTAAGCTCCTCCCCAGGCTCTTTCCCCTCATTCTTAGAGCCCAACTTCAGTACCAAACACTGCCACCCAAATTGTCCAGCCCCCAAACACCCACAGGTAGGGTGCTATTCGTCCTTCTTTGATACCCCCCACCCTGCGCCCTCCTCCGGTTAAGTGCATTCAAAACTTCTGCCCCTAACACTCCTAGTCATGTCCTACTTGGCAGCTGGGACCCCTACTGCAATCTGCAATGCTCGTATCATTGAACTGAATGTCATTTGTGTTTACAAAAAAAAAAAAAAAAAAGGAAGAAAAGGAAAAAGAAAAAGATTGGTTGAGTGGGGGAAGGTTTAACCGTCCACTGAACAAAGGGAGGACACACAACATCATTAAAAATGGTAATAATTATAGCATAAAACAACTTTAGAAACACACATCGGAGGGCTTAGATTCTCCCCAGGACCTCATTCTGACCTCTATCAGAGGTAAAGATCCACCTCACTGTTAAAGAAAACTGAAGAGAGAAGACAGAGCGGCAGAAGAACAGATCGCAGCAGTGTGAAATAAAGGGGAGGTGGCAGGGCAGGGCGTGTGTTTTCTTGCTGATCTCTATTTTTTGTCTTCTGTTTTTCTGTTTTGCTTTCCGTGTATGGTAGGCACCAGTACAGGCACTGCATGCGACAGAAGTTGGGGGAATGAAAGAGGAAAGGGATAAAGGATTCAAGGATGGGGCAGTACAAGTGGAACAGGCGTTATTTCTGTCCACTGATGGACTGCGATATAGACCGGGGAGGGATCATGTCTAAAAGGTATTCACGCTGTCGGTCTGCCAAACTGGGGCCTTTGTGTCCTCCGATGCCAGTATTCAAGTATGCAATGTTGACACCTGGACCCAGGAGACAAAAGTGGAGGGCAGGTATTAAAAGAGGAAATAACATTCCCTTCCACTCTACCCTCGGGCTGCAGAGTTGGAGATGGAAAGGAAGCAGAATTTACCAGTATCTGGTCACACTTGGTTAGCTTTATTTCAACAGCAACTTTCTTTTTCTTTTTTGAGATGCAGTCTCATTCTGTCACCCAGGCTGGAGTGCAGTGGTGTGATCTCCGCTCACCTCTGCCTCCCAGACTCAAGCAATTCTCCTGCCTCAGCCTCCAGAGTAGCTGGAATTATAGGCGCGTGCCACTACTGCCCGGCTATTTTTTGTATTTTTAGTAGAGATGGGGTTTCACCATGTTGGCCAGGCTAGTCTTGAACTCCTGACCTCAAATGATCCAACGGCCTCAGCCTCCCAAAGTGCTGGGATTACAGGCATGACCCACTGCACCCAGCCAATTAATTTTGTTTGCTTATTTATCTGAGACAGAATTTCGCTCGTTGCCCAGGCTGGAGGTGCAGTGGCACAATCTCAGCTCACTGCAAGCCCCACCTCCCAAGTTCAAGCGATTCTCCTGCCTCAGCCTCCCGAGTAGCTGGGATTACAGGCACCAGCCACCACGCCGGGCTAATTTTTTGTATTTTCAGTAGAGATGGGGTTTCATCATGTTGGCCAGGGTGGTCTTGAACTCCTGACCTCAGGTAATCCACTCGCTTTGGCCTCCCAAAGTGCTGGGATTATAGGCATGAGCCACCACGCCCAGCCAATTTTTTGTATTTTTAGTAGAGACAGGGTTTCACCATGTTGGTCAGCCTGGTCTTGAACTCCTGATCTCAAGTGATTCGCCTGCCTCGGCCTCTCAAAGTGCTGGGATTACAGGTGTGAGCCACCGCGCCCTGCACAGCAACTTTATTTCAATCCCCACTCATATTCCTAAGCTTTAGGAAAAGGGGACTTCCTGAAATTTCGGTCCTACCAAGAATAATGAACATGCTTCTGATGGTATGGGAGAGACAAGTGAAACAGTGGTGAGAGGAAGATGAATAAGACAGAGAGATAGAATCATTAAATCAGCTTTGATTTTGAGGCTGCAGATTGTGCAGAAGCATCCCTGGATCATTCAAACAGAACAGTTAACCCTGCTGTCCCGGCCAAAAGAGATCAATAACCACATGTCTACTGAAGGGATATTAAAAGTTAAATTGATAATGGTAGGATCTGGGTCATTTTCACCACCAAAACCCTAGTGCATTGTGGGTGGCACTTAATATGAATTTAGCAAACATTTGCTGAGTAACAGAAGAGTGAGAGTGTATGCCCTAAAGAAAGAACAGAAAGTAAAGGAACAATTCCCTTAAAGGGGCTGCTACAGAACTGTATACTAACTAACAGCTGACCCATGAGAAACATTTTCAGATTAATCCTTCTTACCTGGCATACCAAGGAGGCCACCTGGCACAGACAACTGGGGTGCCTGTGCAAAGTTTGAAAGCATGGAGCGGGCAGATGTGGGTATGCCACGCTGGAGGCTGCTCTGGGGCTGTGGAGCCTGCAATGATGAGGAGACAGTGGATACAACTTTGATATGATAGAATGTTAAGCGGGGGCAAAGATAAGGGAGTACAGAAGAAGACTATGATTTCCCACAATAGAAAGGACAAATTGTGATAAATGGCTGATAAATCTTCTAAAGAAATCAGGATCAGGCAAAAAGTTCCTTACCTGCCGAAGCGTATGATGTCTCATGATGGTCTCTTGTTTACTGACACTGGACACAGCTGGAGCCGTAGTGGGGGAGAGGGCTGCCTGCTGCTGTAATCGCTGTTCAATTTCCTGTTGGGAGTCATCACATCAGGTGATTGAGCAGGACAGCACCCAATACCCAATTTCCTTTTTTTTTTTTTTTTTTAAACAGAGACACAATCTGACTTTGTTGCCCAGGCTGGTCTGGCACTCCTGGGCTCAAGCAATCCTCTCACCTTAGCCTCCCCAAAGTGCTGGGATTACAGGCATGAATCACTGCACCTGGCCCACCCAATTTCCTAACCAGAAAACCTGGAGGTGTTCTTACCTCTAATGTTGTTGGCTAGTTGGTGGAATATGGAAAAGGCAAAAGAGTTTGGTGGGGGTGGTACACTGAGATTTCTGGGTATAAGCAGCTAACTTGCTTCAATGATCAAGGGATCCTCCTCTCTTTCTCCAGGAAAGCTGGCTCTAAGAAGTTGGCTGGAGGTGATGAACCAACTGATATAATTAAGGCTGATGAATTACTGGGGTTTTATTTTATCACTTTTTCTTTTCTCTTTTTAAAAATTTTTATTTATTTATTTTTTACCACCAGTCCTAGAGCATAAATGGGGTTTTATTTTTGACTCCTGCCTACCCGATCTTCCAAAAAGTCCATGATGCTACTCAAACAAGGGACTCTGATGGGTGGAGTGGGAAATAGGAAGAAAAGGATCTGAGTTTCCCAACACATTTTTCCTTCTCTAAGATATTCTCATCCTATAACTGCTACATGAGATGTTCACATACTCTAGAACCACTACTCTTCACTGGGCTACTTCATAATTCACTCTTTCTTTCGTCATTTCTTATCAAACACGCACTGCAAATAACTGTTTCAAAGAGATTTATAGCACAAATATAAATTCCTCCCACCAAAATCTATTATTTGTTTTAGGAAAAAATGAAGATGAGAATAGAGTGCTATGGAAAAGCCAAGAGTCCCAAGCTTTCTGTCCCTTTCTGTTAACCTCAGCCATTATATTTTACCATGTTCTTAATCAGAATACTCGCTCAAATGGAAATAGGACACAATGATAAGGAGACAAAAAGGGAACCTGTGGACCTGTAGGGATCACATGAACCACTCCTGCAAACTAGAAGGCGCGACCCTTTGGAAAAAACAAACTGGGACAGGTGGCCAGTGAGCAGTCAGAATTCTTACCTGTTCCTGCTGTAGGGCTTTCACAAATGCATTTTTCAGCCGGTTGGTGTGTTCAGCTTTTAGAGCCTTTTTCTGGTTGGAGGTCATACACTGCTCACATAGAATCTTACCATTCTTTTCTTGCTTCCAGTGAGGGGTGAAATCTGTGCGGCACTGGGCACATACAAAGGGTTCAACCCGCAGAAGTGAGGCACAGCTTTTGCCTAGATACCAACAAAAATAGTCAGTGGCTTTACATTTCCTATCTCCTCTGTTTCTCTTAATCAAATAGATCTTTTCCAGGAGTTTATTCTGTTGAATTAAAGAAAGAGACTTTACAAAAAGGATATTCTATAATTTACAAAATACTTTTATTTCATCTGATTATAACAGTATCACTTTAGGGAATTCAGACAGTACCATCCTCATTTACAAATGAGGACAGAAGTCGAAGAAATGTAGCTTCTGGCTGGGTGCGGTGGCTCACCCCTACAGTCCCAGCACTTTGGGAGGCTGAGGTGGACGGCTAACGAGGTCAGGAGTTCAAGAACAGCCTGACCAACATAGTGAAAACCCGTCTTTACTAAAAATACAAAAAAATTAGGCGGGCGTGGTGGCACGCGCCTGTAATCCCAGCTACTCAGGAGGCTGAGGCAGGAGAATCGCTTGAACCTGGGAAGTAGAGGTTGCAGTGAGCCGAAATTGTGCCAGTGCACTCCAGCCTGGGTAACAGAACAAGACTCAGTCTCAAACAACAACAACAACAACAAAGGTAGCTTCTAACTGATAAAGCTGGGATGTTTCCTGATTTTCTACTGTATCACACTGAGAAGAAAATACTGTGTCAATTCAAAGTCAAAGGACTCTAACTCAACCAATACTTTTGCTTCTTAATATCTCCTTACCAAAGACTGTACTTATCCCTGTCATATACATTTATAGTTTTAAATAGTTATCAGTGTCTGAATTATTCACTTTGTGATCTATTTATAGCTAATACTGACTCCTCTGGGCACTTTACTGGCAGGCTTTCCCAGAAGTCTACCTGTTTAGAAATTCAAGTTTAATAACTTCAGTTAGTCTAGACTGTATGTTGTTAATACTCTATAGTATGGTTTAGTATTGGTTTACAGCTTTTTATAAGGTCTTTCTTAGTTATCTATGTAAGTGTGTGTTTCTCAACTGTAAGCATTCACAGAAGACTAAACACAGTAATTCAGTACAATGTTGCAAAAACACTCACATTAAAAACAGAAGTTCCAGGCCAGGCATGGTGGCTCACACCTGTGATCCCAACACTTTGGGAGGCTGAGGCAGGCAGATCACTTGAGGCCAGGAGTTTGAGACCAGCCTGGCCCACATAGCAAAACCCTATCTCTACTAAAAACAGAAATAATTAGCTAGGTGTGATGGCACACATCTGTAATTCCAGCTACTTTGGAAGCTGAGACAAAAGAATTGCTTGCGCCGGGCACAGTGGCTCATGCCTGTAACCACAGCACTTTGGGAAGCCGAGGCAGGTGGATCACCTGAGGTCAGGAGTTCGAGACCAGCCTGACCAACATTGTGAAACCCCGTCTCTAAGAAAAACACAAAAATTGGCCAGGTGTGGTGGCAGGCACCTGTAATCCCAGCTACTCAGGAGGCTGAGGCAGGAATATTGCTTGAACCCAGGAGGTGGAGGTTGCAGTGAGCTGAGATCATGCCATTGCACTCTCTAGCCTGGGCAACAGAGCAAGATTCCATCTCAAAAAAAAAAAAAGAATTGCTTGAAACCAAGAGGCAGAGGTAGTCAGCCAGCTAAGATCATGCCACTGTACTCCAGCCTGGGTGACAGAGTAAGACTCTGTCTCAAAAAAAAAAAAAAAAAAAAAAAAAAAAAAACCAACAAAGAAAAAAACTGGCATGGTGGTGCATACCAGTGGTCCCAGTTACTCAGGAGGCTGAAATGGGAGGATGGCTTGAGCCTGGGAGGTCAAGGCTGCAGAGAGCTGAGATCACACCACTGCACTCAAGCCTGGACAACAGGGTCAGACCCTGTCTCAAAAAAACAAAAAAAAAAAACAAAAAAAAAAAAAAGAAAAGAGAAGTTCTATTTATCAAATTATGCAAGCATCATGCTAGCCACCATTTAAAAGAACTAAACAAAATACAGTCAGTCCTCAATGTTGTTGACAGGTTCTCAGAGACTATGATTTAAGTGAAACAACATACAACAAAAACAATCTTTTTTTTTTTACTAATGTTATAATAAAATGATGTTATTTGAGGACCCCCTTCACCGTAGTTGTTTCACTTAAAGTCACAGTTTCTAAGAAACTATTGATGATGTTAAGTGAGAACTTACTGTCCTACAAAAAACACACAAGATAGATAAAATCCAAATAAAAATATCAAGCCTCAATGATAGCTGACCTGCTGAAGGGAAAAAAAAACAAGCCGAAAGATAGATGATAGATTAGATAGAATAGAATAGATAGATTAGATAGATGATAGATTAGATAGATAGATAGATACATAGGCAGGCTGGCCCCGGCCGGCTGACGGGGTACAGTGGCTCATGCCTGTAATCCTAGCACTTTAGGAAGCCGAGGTGGGCAGATCACCTGATGTCAGGAGTTCGAGACCAGCCTGGCCAACATGATGAAACCCCGTCTCTACTAAAAATACAAAAATTAACCGGGTGTGGTGCCACGTGCCTGTAGTCCCAGCTACGTGGGAGGCTGAGGCAGGAGAATTGCTTGAACTCAGGAGGCAGAGGTTGCAGTGAACTGAGATTGTGCCACTGCACTCCAGCCTGGGCAACAGAGCGAGACTGCATCTCAAACAAAACACACACACACACACACACACACACACACACACACACACACTCCGCTTCTAACATGTTGCTCCCAAACAGCTGTAAAGAAGGGAGGGAGGTGGTTTGGTAACAGGAAGGAGAAGTTATTTAATATTGTACAGTACCCTCTGATACTCTGCCTATGTCAATCAGGCTTGGCAACCACTTGCTTAAATAGATTGATTAGAAGAAACAGCCTTACCTTGGCTGTCAATGACACTCTGTACGACTTCTTCCAAGCCTACCATGTAGATGAACTCGCTATTGGCTGCACTAGGCAAGAAATGAAGTAAGGGAGCAGGAGGTTTAGGGGGTGGGATCTCCAGGAGTGTCTTTTCCAGCTGTTTGCGAAGAGCCAATTTGGCTGCAGCCTGTGAGTTGGCAGCATCAGTCATGGCGCTGGGGCTAGGAAGTGGCGAGGACACTCTGTTCACCGTCCCTGGCTGGATATGAGAAGCAAGGTTCATATAGATGGCAGAGGATGTTGTACGCTGACATGGAACAGAAGAACTTGACTGCTGAAATAGATTGAGAATGCGGTCAATCATGGTATGCAGGAGAAAGGGCCAATTCTTACGTTCTTGGCAGAGGACACTGTCTGATCCTGGTTTGGACTACTTAGCTTCTCCAAAAATAGGAGGTGGTCAACTTATTTATTGAAAAAGAACTCTGACACATAGGAAAGGAGAATGATGATGACCATGAGCTAACATTGCTAAGAGAGAAATAAAGGCCACGCGTGGTGGCTCACGCCTATAATCTCAGCACTTTGGGAGGCCGAGGTAGGCAGATCACTTGAGGTGAGGAGTTTGAGACCAGCCTGGCCAACATGGTCAAACTCTGTCTCTACGAAAAATACACAAAATTAGCTGGAAATTCCTTGAACCCAGGAGGCAGAGGTTGCAGTGAGCCAAGATCATGCCACTGCACTCTAGCCTGGGCAACACAGTGAGATTCCAGCTCAAAAAACAAACAAACAAACAAACAAAAAAGAGACAGAAATAAGATTTTGCTTTCTGTCACACATCCTTGTGCTTCTTATTCCCTAGATCACTCTCTTCTAGGCAGATTTTTAGCTTACTGCTGCTCTGCTGTATAACCTCTCTCCTCCACTACTATTTTAATATAATTCCTCAAAGCTTCTACTTTTGGGACTGCTCTCAATTAAATCCCTACCAAAATAACCATTTTTGTCCTAGAGTTTATCTATGTATAAAAACTTAAAACCTATGGCCCTTTCGACAAGCAAAGCAAACAAAGGGATTTCTCTGTTTCCACATTAGGGCTCAGCTCTCTCTTACCGGTTGATAATTGATGGCGGGATTCATGTTGGGTGTTGTGGTGCGTACAAGGCCAGGCTTAGGCGGGCCCCGCTGACCCTGTAGCTGGGCTGGGTTTGGTGCAATAACACGTTGAGACATCAACATGTGTGGAAGGGTGGTATTGGTAGCTGAACGGATGACACTGTGACCCTGGAGGGGAAGAAGAGGAAAAGAACTAATCACAGGTTGTACGCTGTGTATAATACAGCACAAAATGCAAAAGGGAAAACACTGCCTATAATACATAGCTAAGTAGAAACACAGGAACACAGCCAGACTTGGTAATTTCATTTAATGGTCTATGGGATAAATCTACCATCATTGTAAACCCTGATTAGTGGCTGGGAAGTCCTTGGCTTTTTTTGGTATAAACTATCTAATCCTATAGGGTTAGATAGAAAACTATCTACCCCTTCTCTAGAGAAGCTGGAAGCATTCTCTAGACAAGAAAAACTACAGTGGAAACATGAAAGTTACTCATCCTTCTACTGAAGACTAAATCATGCCATAATGGGCCAACAGAACAATCAGTAGTAATAACACCTCTATCATGGCCAGGTTCTTCTATAATCTTCACAAAAGCCCAAAAACAGAGACAGGATTAGACACGGCCCTCCAACACTAAGATCCCACTATGGGTCACATACCTGTAATGTTCTCAAATTTTGAGGTTCAACCCCTTGGGCCCCAGGCCGAGAGGGAAGCTTAGATAGGCCCTGCTGTCCCACATGGGCAGGAGATGGCTGAACAATAGATGCTGCATTCTGTACAACTGGAGTCTGGGAGAGGGAAGAGAAAATAAGACTGTGGCCAATAATCACAGGTGGAAATTTGGTACATTTCTAGACTTTAAAAATTCCTGGTCAGTGTGAGGTTCTTGTCAATCAGGAGGAAAAACCAGAAAAAGGGAGTCAAGGTTTTCTTTTTTTTTTTTTTTTTTGAGACAGAGTCTTGCTCTGTCGCCCAGGCTGGAGTGCAGTGGCCTGATCTCGGCTCACTGCAAGCTCCACCTCCCGGGTTCACGCCATTCTCCTGCCTCAGCCTCCCGAGTAGCTGGGACTACAGGCGCCCGCCACCATGACCGGCTAATTTTTTGTATTTTTAGTAGAGATGGGGTTTCACCATGTTAGCCAGGATGCTCTCGATCTCCTGACCTCGTGATCCACCCGCCTCGGCCTCCCAAAGTGCTGGAGTTACAGGCGTGAGCCACCGCACCTGGCTGGGAGTCAAGGTTTTCTTAAGGCCTAAGATTAAAAAAAAAATCACTACTACTACAGACTAAAAAACTACGGACCCAGAGAAGAAATGAGCCACCCAACTGAACCTACCTGGGGGAACCTACTCTCAAACCAGTTTTTCTTTCCTTTCCCTTAGTCCCTTATTTCTAGGGCACATTACCTTCTGGACCACATTCTCTTTCTGTAGCTGACTCTGTCTCAGTTTCTTTAACAGGACCAGTCGGGCTTCTTCCAATCGTAGCTCATCCCTCAGCTGCTTGATAAGCTGCTGCCGCTCCTCAATGCCTTTCCCCTAAGGAAACAAGAAGACTTTCAGCTATGGCAGCAAGGTACCCAGAATTCCTTCCTGCAAGAGACAATCTTTACTTCTTAGCTCTGAAACCTTCATCTTCCACAAGAAGCAGAAGTGGCAATAGGATTATCTTTGTATCACTGGAGTCTGGCACAGTGCCTGGCATTCAGTAGGTACTCAAAGAAATGCTTACAGAATTAAAGGACAGACCACGTATAAATGCTAATCAGCCAGATTCCTGGCAAAAAGAAGAATGACTAAAGAGAAACATTGTCTTCTTTTAAAATAATGTTCCTAAATCTCTTAAAGCCACATTTCCTCTAGATATACATAAAAACTTAGGAATCCCTTCATATTCAGTTACTTAGGTTAGAGTGCAGAAAGTATCCTTACAGCCAAGAGTTTACTTTATATGACTTAATTATGAACTTTTGTTTTCATTTTCCAAAGATAAATAACACTGAGTATAATGGCCTACATATATGCTTTTCAAACTGTCGTCTCCACTTGCTTCTAATAGTTCCTTTTGAAAGCCCTTGAAGTCAAGAGTTACTATAAAGTTTTCATCAATGGGTATTTATATCCAAAGAGTAAATAGTCAAAAAACAGAACTAAATCTCTTGAGGAATTAAATAAAATAGAAGGAGCATAACAAGAAGAAAGAAATTTTTCTTTCTTTTTACCTTAAACATCTCTAAGTTGGCTGCTTTGAGTCTTTCTTCCATTCTGGAACTGGAACGGGGACTGGAAGCCTCATTGTCAGACAAAACAATGATGTCTGGTGAGGGAGTTAGCCTTCCTCGCTCTGGCTCACTAGACAAGAAAGGGAAAAAATAAGCTATTTCCAACAAAAGTTAAGAAAACTTCTATGCTGAATTAAAAAAATCCAAGGGGGGCCGGGTGCGGTGGCTCACTCCTGTAATCCTAGCACTTTGGGAGACCGAGGCGGGTGGAACACCTGGGGTCAGGAGTTCGAGACCAGCCTGACCGACATGGTGAAACCCCGTCTCTACTAAAAATAAAAAATTAGCTGCGCATGGCGGCGCGCACCTGTAGTCCCAGCTACTCAGGAAGCTGAGGCAGGAGAATCTCTTGAACCTGGGAGGCAGAGGTTGCAGTGAGCCAAGATTGCACCACTGCACTCCAGCCTGGGCAACAGAGCGAGGTTCCCGTCTCAAAAAAAAAAAAAAAAAAGAATAGTCTATCCTGTCAAGAGTAGGTACTGAAGAGTACACAAAAGAAGGAAGTATTAATAATTTGAGGGAATAGTGCCAAGAATATTGTCTACAGCCTTACAGAAAAGGATTAAACCTCCAGAACCAAATATATTGAACTTGCATCTACTTACCAGAGTTTTATCCAGCATCTTACCTCAAAAAGAGTCTAGAAATTACTTTGAAATCTAAATCTCCTGCACTGACTCCTCTTACTCCTAATCCTATTTACTAGATAACTCTCATTTAGGTCATTCTGGGGTTAGCCTTAAAAGCATCATGCTTATTTGTGTAAGATGATAAAAAATGGCACATACTGCTTAAGACCTAGGTAACAAGAATTCCGGAAACTCTAACTGCCTCAGGTTCCCAAATCCGTGACTGTATCTTCTAATTCTCCTCTAATTTCAAAGATACATTCCCAGATCCTACTTTCCTTGAGATTGTCAGCGTAGTTGGTAGTATATAGGTCGAGGGCAATTGTTCTTTGGTCCTTTTTTTTTTCCCTCTTGAGACAGGGTCTCACTCTGTCACCCAGGCTGGAGTCCAGTGGCCCGATCACAGCTCACTGCAGCCTTGACCTCCTGAGCTCAAGCGATCCTCCCACCTCAGCCTCCTGAGTAACTGGGACTACAGGCATGTGCCGCTACGCCCGGCTAATTTTTGTACTTTTTGTAGAGACAGGGTCTTACTATGTTGCCCAAGCTGGTCTTAAGCGACCCTCCCGCCTTGGCCTCCCCTTTGGCCTTAAACAATCAACTTAAACCCTTAATGATCACAGATCGCTAGCTGTCCACTTCTCAGGGTTTCTTGTCCTAGTTGCTGTTGGCACATGGAATTTTTTTTTTTTTTTTTTTTTTTTTTTTTTTTTGAGACAGGGTCTCACTCTATTGCCCAGGCTGGAGTGTAGTGGTGCTTGCTACATTCTCAAACTCCTGGCCCCAAGAGATTCCCCCCGCCTCAGCCTCCTGAGTAGCTGGGACTACAGGTGCACACCACTGTGCCTGGCTAATTTTTTATTTTTTTGTAAGGGGTGGGGGTCTTGCTATGCTGCCCAGGCTAGTCTTGAATTCCTGGGTTCAAGTGATCCTGCTGCCTCAGCCACCCAAAGTGTTGGAATTACAGGTGTGAGCCACCATGCCCAGCCAGGACATGGATACTTTTGAACAGGGAACCCCGATCACTGGAATAAGCAATTTCCTAACAGGGTAAATCTGAGTTGCTAAAATCAACCAAACTTAGGTAAGGAAATAGAATAGGAGGATAGAAAGGTAAGAATGACTATCTTGTGAACTATTAAATTTGTCTAGATTGCTGGCCACAGACACAGCAAGCTGAGAAGGTAGAAATACAGAAAAAGCCACTAGAGGGAGAAAAGAGCCTTTCATTCTCTAACCCCAAATATGAGGAGTAACAGGCCTGAATAAAGTGTCTGCATTCTTTTTTTTGAGATGGATTCTGGCTCTGTCGCCCAGGCTGGAGTGCAATGGCGCGATCTCGGCTCACTGGAACCTCCGTCTCCTGGGTTCAAGTGATTCTCCTGCCTCAGCCTCAGTAGCTGGGATTACAGGTACCCGGCACCGCGCCTGGCTAATTTTTTTTTGTATTTTTAGTAGAGACGGGGTTTCACCGTTTTGGCCAGGCTGGTCTCAAACTCCTGACCTCGTGATCTGCCTGCCTTGGCCTCCCAAAGTGTTGAGATTACAGGCATGAGCGACTGTGCCCGGCCTGAATTCATTTTTAAAGCGTGATTTACTTCTCATTTCTATATTCCTTTATACTCCCCCTCTATGATTAACATGGGTCATTTTGGGTGGGCAGATCACTTGAGGCCAAAAGTTTGAGACCAGCCTGGCCAACGTGGAGAAACCCTGTCTCTACTAAAAATACAAAAATTAGCCGGGCATGGTAGTATACGCCTGTAATCCCAGCTACTCAGGAGGCTGAAGCACAAGAATCACATGAACCTGGGAGGTGGAGGTTGCAATGAGCCGAGATTGCACCACTACACTCCAGCCTGGGTGACAGAGCAAAACTCTGTCTCAAAAAAATTAAAAATAAATAAAAAATAAAACACCGGTAATTTTGGAATCTGGAAGATTTTTCATTTAGAAGCTCTTTCTATTCTGGTCCTGGCTGGATATATACATTACAGATTATTTCTAAGGTAAGGAATTCTTCCTTGCTCAAATGAGTGCCACTTAACTGCTTAGGAACTGCCCAGTACCAAGACAGAGATATTACTGGATGGAGATTTGGGAACTGTATGCCATTTATCAGGAAGTTATATCTGAGAACAACTTTAAATGATTATTTTATTCCCAGATATAAACACACCGGTATTAGGTAGATAGCACAGATAAGGCAAAGCCAAAGCCTCTCTGTTTTTCTTTTGAGTCGGAGTCTTGCACTGTCACCGGGGCTGGAGGGCAATGGTGCAATCTCGGCGCACTGCAACCTCCTCTCAGGTTTAAGTGATTCTCCTGCCTCCTGAGTTGCTGGGATTACATGTGCCCGCCACCACACCCGGCTAATTTTTGTATTTAGAGACGGGGTTTCACTATGTTGGCCAGACTGGTCTCAAACTCCTGACCTCGTGATCCGCCCGCCTCAGCCTCCCAAAGAGCTGGGATTACAGGCATGAGCCACCGCGTCCAGCCTCTTTTCTTGTATTTATTTTTTCTTTTGTTTTTTGAGACAGGGTCTCACTCTGTCACCCAGGAAGGAGTGCAGTGGTGCAATCATTTGTGGCTCACTGCAGTCTCAATCTCCTAGGCCCAAGCGATCCTCCCACCTCAGCCTCCTGAGTAGCTAGTTTTTAAATTTTTTGTAGAGAAGGGGTCTCCTTATGTTACTAAGGCTGGTCTTAAACTTCTAGGCTCAAGTGATTCTCCTGCCTTGGCCTCCCAAAGTGCTGAGATTACAGGCGTGAGCCACCATGCCCTGCCTCATTTCTTAATTTTAAAAAACTAATGAACTAGGATTCTGGCCTCATTTGTTAAACATTCCAAGAGAGAAATTATTTTGCTCTTTTCCTAAACATATATATAATTTACAATATTTGGGGTAGTTAAGTATGAACTCCTACCTATTAGAGAGATATTATTAAAAGACCCACTTGGTGTGACATCACTTGTGACTTAGTCTGGCATATTCTCAGAAGCTATAAAGCTCCTAATCCTTATCCCAGTAGTAAAAACAACTAAGCAGACAACTGCTGTGTCTCTCTAGAATTCTAAAACATTAGTAGTGTTGGTTTCATACATACCTTATTTCACAGGTATCGTAACTTGCCCAACTGATGGCAAAATAAGATATTTAGGCTATTATGACATGGCTATTATGTTAAGAACTTCTCTTGCCTTCTGCTTTCAAATTCTTTCATTTTTTCTTGGTAGAGATGAGGTACCACTATGTTGCCCAGACAGAGCTCAAATTCTTGCCCTCAAGCAATTCTCCCACTTTGGCCTCCCAAAGTGCTGGGAATACAGGCATGCACCACTGCACCCAGCCCTTTCCTCTTTTTATCACTATCAAAGAAACTATGGTTCTCCTTGCTGGGAATCTATCGGTTTTGCTTTTTTTTTTTGTTTTTTTGTTTGTTTTTTTTTTGAGACAAGGTCTTGGTCTGTCACCCAGGCTGGAGTGCAGTGGTGCAATCTCTGCTCACTACAACTCTACCTCCTGGGTTCAAGCGATTCTCCTGCCTCAGCCTTCCAAGTAGCTAGGATTACAGGCACCCGCCACCACGCCTGGCTAATTTTTGTATTTTTAGTAGAGACAGGGTTTCACCATGTTGGCCAGGCTGGTCTCGAACTCCTGACCTCAGATGATCCTCCCGCCTCGGCCTCCCAAAGTGCTGGGATTACAGGCGTGAGCCACTGTGCCCAGCAGTTTTGTTCATTCTTATACATCTCGGGGCTAAGTGGAAATAGCTGTCAGTATATCTGGAGTCCCAAGCTTCCAGAGGATTGTGTTTCAAAAGATCACCCCATGTTGGGTACAGCGGCCCATGCCTAATAGTCCCAGCTACTCAGGAAGCCAAGTGGGGAGGACTGCTTGAGCCCAGGAATTTGAGGAAATAGTGCACTATGACAGTGCTTGTGAACAGCCAATGTACGTCAGCCTGGGCAACACAGCAACACCTCATCTCTTTAAATGATTTTTAAAAATCACCCCAAAATAACATTTTTAAAAAAATTGTTGGGTTTGGCTAGGTGTGGTGGCTCACGCCCATAATCCCGGCACTTTGGGAGGCCAAGGCGGGTGAATCACAAGGTCAGCAGATCGAGACCATCTGGCCAACATGGCGAAACCCCATCTCTACTAAAAATACAAAAATTAGCCAGCATGTAGTCCCAGCTACTCAGGAGGCTGAGGCAGGAGAATCGCTTGAACCCAGGAGACGGAGGTTGCAGCGAGCCAAGATTGCGCCACTTTACTCCAGCCTGGGCAACAGAGCGAGACTCTGCCTTTAAAAAAAAAAAAAAAAAAAAAAAAAGTTGGGTTTTCAGGAAGTCTGACTTTTTAACATATACTGTATCTATCTGCAATATAATACAATTCCAATACCATTAATAAGATCTTATCAAAATGTCTACAGGAGCAGGACTGAAAACAGGAAAAAAAAAAAGAGTGTTAACAAAGTTTCTATGAAAAATGTTGGGCCCGGCATGGTGGCTCATGCCTGTATTCCCAGCACTTTAGGAGGCAAAGGCGGGCAGATCACTTGAGTCCAGGAGTTAGAGACCAGCCTGGGTGACACAGCGAAACCTCGTCTCTACTAAAAATACAAAACAATTAGCTGGGTACAGGGGCACACGCCTATAGTCCCAGCTACTTGGGTGGCTAAGGAGCGAGGATTGCTTGAGCCTGGGAGGTGGAGGTTGCAGTGAACGGACATCATGCCACACTGCACTCCAGCCAGGGCAACAGAGTGAGACCTTGTCAGGAAAGGGAAAGAGAAGGAAAGGAAAGAAAAATGCATTTAAAAGTTCCAATTTGGAATGTGAAGAATCCACCTAACATTTCTTTAACTCTTTCTCCCCAATGAAGTGGGATAAGTTACTTGCTCCAGAAGGGTAAGAGAGATTATAAAAGCCAAGTAGGTTGCTCAGGTTCATGATCTCATTCACCCATATCCTTTTCTTGCAAACAATCTAAAAATGAACCTACTTATATAATATTCTGCTGGCACTACCTATAACTTACAAGTATTTTTCTCCTCTTCCAGGACCTCTAGGGAATCTGCCTGAGGTTTCCTAAGAGGTTTTTTTGTGGTTGTTTTTGCTTTTTTTTAAAATGGAGACAAGAGTCTCACTCTGTTGCCCAGGTTGGAGTGCAGTGGCACGATCTCAGCTCACTGCAACCTCTACCATCTGGGTTCAAGCAATTCTCACGCTTCAGCCTCTCAAGTAGCTAGGAACACAGGTGTGTGCCACCACACCTGGCTAATTTTTTCATATTTTTAGTAGAGACAAGGTTTCACCATGTT
This sequence comes from Homo sapiens, assembly GCF_000001405.40. Lineage (NCBI taxonomy): Eukaryota > Metazoa > Chordata > Mammalia > Primates > Hominidae > Homo > Homo sapiens. The sequence continues at coordinate 142,332 of NW_003315905.1, forward strand.
GGCCAGGCTGGTCTCAAACTCCTGACCTCAGGTGATCCACCCGCCTCGGCCTCAAAGTGCTGGGATTACAGGTGTGAGCCACCGCTTACTAAGAGTTTTTAATGTTACTACCAAGAATAATGTTTGCTTATGGAGCATGGTTTTAAAAAATAATCCTGGGACAAGACCAGTAAGTAGACATCAAAAGGTAGAGAAAGTAACATGTGTAAAGTTATAACCATTTCTTTCTTCTTCATTCTCCACCAGTCCAGCTTCTTAGAGATTCTGCTTTGGATGAGTCCTACAACAAACTCAGCAAGGTCATTTGGAGGGCAACTCAACACTGAAGACTAATTCTCACAGCTATCAGCTGTTTCTGAACTATTTATAAACTGACTTTTTTTTTTTTTTTCAGACGAAGTCTCGCTCTGTCGCCCAGGCTGGAGTGCAGTGGAGCAATCGCGGCTCACTGCAACCTCCACCTCCCGGGTTCACACCATTCTCCTGCCTCAGCCTCCCAAGTAGCGGGGACTACAGGCACCTGCCACCATGCCTGGCAAATTTTTTGTATTTTTAGTAGAGACGGGGTTTCACGGTGTTAGCCAGGATGGTCTCGATCTCCTGACCTCGTGATCCACCCGCCTCATGATCCACCCGCCTCGGCCTCTCAAAGTGCTGGGATTACAGGCGTGAGCCACCGCACCCAGCCTAAACTGAATGTTTTAAAAGCTAGGGTTGGCTGGGTGTGATGGCTCATGCCTATAATCCCAGCACTTTGGGAGGCAGAGGTGGGCAGATCACCTGAGGTCAGGAGTTCGAGACCAGCCGGGCTACCATGGTGAAACCCCATCTCTACTAAAAATACAAAACTAGCTGGGTGTGCAGGCACGCGCCTGTAATCTCAGCTACTTAGGGGAGTAGAGAGGCAAGAGAATCACTTGAACCCAGGAGGTGGAGGGTGCAGTGAGCCTAGATCGTACCATTGCACTCAGCCTGGGCAAAAAGAGTGAAACTCCATCACACACACACACACACAACTTGGGTTATAAGCTGGGTGTGGTGGCTCACAACAGTAGTCCCAGCACTTTGGGAGGCCAATGTGGGAAGATCACTTGAGGCTGAGAGTTTGAGACCAGCCTGGGCAACATAGTGAGACTCTGTCTCTACAAAAGTATTCAAAAATTAGCTGGGTGTGATGATGCACACCTGTAGTCCCAGCTACTTGGGAGGCTAGGGCGCGAAGATAACTTGAGCCCAGGAGTTGGTGGTTACAATGAGCTATGATCATGCTACTGCACTCAAGACTGTGTGACAAAGTGAGACCCTATCTTAAAAAAAAAAAAAAAAAAAAAACTGGCTGGATGCTGTGGTGCATGTCCATAATCCGGCACTTTAGGAGGCTGAGGAGGGAGGACCACTTGAGCTCAGGAATTCGAGACCAGCCTGGGTAATATGGCAAAAACCTGTTTCTATAAAAATACAAAAATTAGACAGGCATGGTGGGATGTGCCTGTAGTCCCAGCTACTCAAGGGGGGTGGGGTGTGGGTTGGGGTTGAGGGGGGAAGATCGCTTGAATCCAGGGTATCAGGCCACTCACTACACGCCAGCCTAGGCAACAGAGCGAGACCTTGCCTCAAAAAAAAAAAAAAAAGCACCAAAAAAACTCATAAAAAACAAAAAGAAAAAAAAAACCCCAACTAGGGTTATCTATACTATGATTCACTGCACAGGGAGACTCAACCATTGGCCAGTTCCAGGTACCTCTCCTTACTGTGTGCTCTACAGTTTCAAGTACTCAACCTTGAAAGACACCAGAAAAAAAGGCCTGGGAAAACATGTTGCATGTGTGAGTGAAAGAGAGAGTAACATACATGTACAAGTGAATGTATATGTATATGGGGGAGCTGGGGGAAGTGGTACAGATACAGCAAGAATGCAGAGACTTACCACATGAAGATAATTTGCTTTCTGACACAAGAAAAGCTAGGCCCATGTTTTTGGATGTAATAAAAGCTGGGACTCCACAATAAATACATCCTAAAACTCCTGGAATTATCTGACAAAAAGACTATTTTTCTCCTCCTAAGACGGCCATGAAGATTAGAATGAAGGTATATATTAACTCACTTCCATTTGGCCTATCAGCTCTCTAGTGCCCCCTTTATCTAGAAATGACCATTTTTTCTCTTAAGAGTAAGAACTACGATTCTCTGTAGGCTAAGCAGTTTTTGAGGCACCTGGTTTCATTTGGAAATAAAATGAATTTATGGTCAAACTCGATGATATATCTTCTTTTAAGAATCTTTAGGATGAAAAACACCCTCCTCTCATTGGAATTCATTCCATTTTCACAGGCTTTATGAGACGACCCTATCCCTGGAGGCAGCTGAACTGAGCCATACCTCCGTCTAGCACTCATATCCACAGGCTCATCATTGATGTTTTCTTTGCCTGGCCTTCCAGCAGTCCTGTTGTCTCCATGAGGCCTGAGATTCCCGTTAAGTTTTTCTTCATAGCCCTTGACACCACTGCCATCCTGTTTGGTGGGTAACTCATGTGGCACCTCAAGATTTGCCAAATCCTTCCTTTTGAGCAATGCCAACATTTTCAGACGTTCCATGGCCTCATGCCCCTCCATTTTGAGTCGCTTTGCCAGGACATCATCTCGCTCATCTGCTGGGTCCAAGCTCCGCTTCAACAGATTCAAGCGAAGAGCATCTTCTGTCATTCTATCCATCCTATGGAAAGAAAAATACAAGTAAGATCAGAATAAAGTCCCTTAAATAGTCCATTTTTAAAAAGGTGGAATGGTGAAGTTATTAACAAGAATCTCTCTCTCACACATACACACACACACACACACACACACACACACACACACAAAGTTCAAAGTTAACTAAGCTATGTCCTACCTGATATTGTCCTAGAACATTTATATTAAAGGAGATTTCTGGGCATTCAACCCAGCAATTTAAGTAAACTTAAATCTACATAAGCAAGGCCTGTTGACACGTGCCCTTAATTCTACATGGATACAGATTGAAAATCTTTTTTTTTTTTTGGCTTTTATTTTATGTTCAAGGGTACATGTGCAGGTTTGTTATATAGGTAAACTGCATGTCACCAGGGTTAGCAGATTCAAAATCTGAAGACATTTAAGATGCTTTTTAAAATGAAGAACTCAGGTGCTTAGCCTGATAAGAAGCACTATTTTTTTCTTTACTCATGAAGAAAAAGTGTTAACGACAAGCTAATTAATCATTATCTTCCCTTTTCACTTTGATTTTTTTTACACTAACAAAATCTAAATGTAGGCCGGACATGGTGGCTCAACTTGTATTGTCAGCTCCTCCAGAGGCTGAGGTGGGAGGATGGCTTGAGCCCAGGAGTTCAAGACCAGCCTGGGCAAAATGGTGAGACCCCATCTCTACAAAAAAATTAAAAATTTGTCAGGCATGGTGGCACATGCCTGTAGTCCCAGCTACTTGGGAGGCTAAGGTGGGAGGATTGCTTGAGCCCAGGAGGTTGAGGCTGCACTGAGCCTGATCGTACCACTGAACTCCAGCTAGGGCGATACAGCGAGGCTCTCTCTCCAGGAAACAACAAAAAAAAAATCTAAATGCAAATTCAGATTTAGATTTTCTCCAACACTTTCAAATCCAGGTTTGTTGTCCTGGTAGGAAACAGCAAAGATAAAATAGTAAGAAAATCTTTTAAGTCAAAGAAACACAGTTTAAAATTGCTACTTATGTTAACCAGGTCAAATATTTAGTAAGTTATTTTACCTTCCCAAGTTTCAATTTCATTTGTAAAAATGGAGTACTTAAAATTTTTTTCTATTCCAGGGCTGGGCGTGGTGGCTCACACCTATAATCCCAGCATTTTGGGAGGCCGAGGAGGGTGGATCACGAGGTCAGGAGTTCAAGACCAGCCTGGCTAAGATGGTGAAACCCCATCTCTACTAAAAATATAAAAACTTAGCTGGGCGTGGTGGCGGGCGCCTGTAATCCCTGCTACTTGGGAAGCTGAGGCAAAGAATTGCTTGAACCCAGAAGGCAGAGGCTGCAGTGAGCTGAGATCTCGCCACTGCACTCCAGCCTGGGCGACAGAGTGAGACTCCATCTCAAAGAATCAACGAATGAATGAATGAATTAAATTAAAAAGATTCTTTTCCAGTTGCAATGAAAAATAAATAAAACGAAACAGGGGCCGGGTGCAGTGGCTCACGCTTGTAATCCCAGCACTTTGGGAGGCTGAGGTGGGTAGATCACTTGAGATCAGGAGTTCGAGACCAGCCTGGCCAACATGGTGAAACCCTGTCTGCACTAAAAATACTAAAATTAGGCATGGTGGAGCTTTCATGTAGTCCCAGCTACCTGAGAGGCTGAGGCATGAGAATCACTTGAACCTGCAAGGTGGAGGTTGCAGTGTGCCAAGATCACACCACTGCATTCCAGCCTGGGTGACAGAGTGAAACTGTCTCAAAACAAAAACAAAACAAGACCAAAAAATGAAACACACACCCTTTATTATATTTGTATTTATGTATTTATTTGAGATGGACTCTTGTTCTGTTGCCAGGCTGGAGTGGAGTGGTGAGATCTCAGCTCACTGCAACCTCTGCCTCCCAGGTTCAAAGCAATTCTCCTGCCTCAGCCTCCCAAGTAGCTGGGACTATGGGTGTGTGCCACCACGTCCAGCTAATTTTTGTATTTTTAGTAGAGACAGGGTTTCACCATGTTGGCCAGGATGGTCTCAATCTCTTGACCTTGTGATCTGTCTGCCTCGGCCTCCTGAAGTGCTGGGATCACAGGCATTAGCCACTGTGCCCGGCCTGTTTTTATTTTTATTTTATTTTATTTTATTTATTTATTTTTTTTTTTGAGACAGAGTCTCGCTCTGTCGCCCAGGCTGGAGTGCAGTGGCGGGATCTCGGCTCACTGCAAGCTCCGCCTCCCGGGTTCACGCCATTCTCCTGCCTCAGCCTCCCAAGTAGCTGGGACTACAGGCGCCCGCCACTACGCCCGGCTAATTTTTTGTATTTTTAGTAGAGACGGGGTTTCACTGTTTTAGCCGGGATGGTCTCGATCTCCTGACCTCGTGATCCGCCCGCCTCGGCCTCCCAAAGTGCTGGGATTACAGGCGTGAGCCACCGCGCCCGGCCTTTTTATTTTTATTTTTGAGAGACAGGGTCTCACTCTATCACCCAGGCTAGGGTGCAAGTGGCACAATCATAGCTTATTGCAGCTTCAAACTCTAGGGCTCCAACAATCCTCCACACCTCAGCCTCCTGAGTAGCTAGAGACGCGTGCCACCACACTGGGCTAATTTTTTAGTTTTTTGTAGGACAAGGTCTCACTATGTTGCCCAGGCTGGTCTGGAACTCCTGGGCTCAAATGATCCTCCTGCGTCAGCCTCTCAAAGCACTTGGGATTATAGGCAGAAATACACCTTTTAGAGATAAAAGTCACAACCCAAACTTCTGAATTTTGGGTTAATGCTTCTTAATTCCCTCCCTTTTTAAAGAATAGCTTTAGCAGCCATAAAAAAAGAATGAGTTCATGTCCTTTGCAGTTTAAATGGATGAAGCTGGAACCCATCAATCTCAGCAAACTAACAAAGGAACAGAAAACCAAACACTGCCTGTTTTCACTCGTAAGTGGGAGTTGAACAATGAGAACACATGGACACAGGAAGGGGGAACATCACACACCTGGGTCTGTTGGGGGGTAGGAGGCAAAAGGAAGGAGAGCATTAGGACAAATATCTAATACATGTGGGGCTTAAAACCTAGATGACGGGTTGATAGCTGCTGCAAACCACCATGGCACATGTATACCTATGTAATAAACCTTCAGGTTCTGTGCATGTATCCCAGAACTTAAAGTAAAATAATAAAAAAAAAAGAATAGCTTTACTGAGATATAATTCACATATCATACAATTCACCTATGTAAAGTGTACAATTCAATGATGTTTAGTATATTCAGAGCTGTGCAACTATCATTATAATCAACTTTAGAACATTTTTATCACACTTCACCTCCCAATTTACCTCTGAAAAATATCTTCAGATGGAGGGACTAGAAAGTGGAGTGCTATAGACCACTACCCTAACTCTATAGTTAACAATGTCTTTAGTAGTTCAATCAACACTATATAAGTGAGAGCAGTAACTGGACATACCATGGTAAGTTGGGCAGAGTAGGAAAAGTCTGCCACTCAACTGATTATACGCCTAGACGCAAAAAGTACAGCCATGCCTCATTTTATTGCATTTCACTTTATTGTGCTTTGCAGATACTTTGTTAAAGGAAAACAAGGCCAGGCACAGTGGCTCACGCCTGTAATCTCAGCACTTTGGGAAGCCAAGGCGGGCTGATCACTTGAGGTCAGGAGTTCGAGACCAGCCTGGCCAACATGGTGAAACCCCGTCTCTACTAAAAATACAAAAATTAGTCGGGTGTTGTGGCACATGCCTGTAATCCCAGCTATTTGGGAGGCTGAGGCAGGAGGATCACTTGAACCCGGGAGGCAGAGGTTTCAGTGAGCCAAGATCGCACCACTGCACTCCAGCCTAGGCGACAAGAGCAAGACTCCATCTCAAAAAAAAAAAAGTTAGCCAAGTTGTGAATGCAAAGGAAAAGTTCCTGAAGGAAATTAAAAGTGCTATTCCAATGCACACACAAATAATGGCAAAGTGCAAAGGCCTTACTGGCAATATGGAGAAAGTTTTAGTGCACTGGCAAGATCAAACCAGCCACAGCATTCCTTTAAGCCAAAGCGTAATTCAGAATCAGGCCCTAACTCTCTTCAATTCTGTGAAGGCTGGGAGAAATGAGGAAGCTGCAAAAGAAAAGCTGGAAACTAGCAGAGGCTGGTTCATGAGGTTTAAGAAGTCACGCCATAACACCAAAGTACAAGGTACAGCAGTAGCCAAGTCCTGATGTAGAAGCTAACGCAAGTTATCCATAAGATCTAGCTGAGATAACCCACAAAAGTGACACATTAACAGTACATTTTTTTCCCTTTTTAAAATTTTCTAATTTTTATTTTAGATTTAAGGGATACATGTGTAGATTTATTAAATGGATATACTGCATAATGCTGGGGTTTGGGCTTCTATTGAACTCATCACCCAAATAGCTAACATAGTACCCAATGGGTAGTTTTTCAACCCTTATCTCCCACTCCATTCCTCCCCTTTTTGGAGTACTCAGTGTCTACTGTTTTCATCTATAAGCCCATGTGAACAGCACATTTTCAATGTAGATAAAATAGCCTTCTACTAGAAGACTTTCATAGAGAGATGTCAATACCAGGCTCCAAAGCTTCAAAAGACAGGCTGACTCTCTTGTTAGAGGCTAATATGGCTGGTGACTTTAAATTGAAGTCAGTGATCATTTACCATTCCAACAATTCTAAGGCCCTTAAGAATTATGTTAAATAAACTGGGCATAGTAGTGCACACCAGTAGTCTCGGCTATGTGGGAGGCTAAGGCAGCAGAGTTGCCTGAGCTCAGGATTTTGAGGCTGTAGAGCACTATGATTGCACCTGTGAATAGCCACTGCACTCCAGCCTGGACAACATAGCAAGACTCCATCACTTAGAAAAAAGGTAAGAATTAGGCTAAATCTACTCTGCCTGCACTCTCTCAATGGAACAACGACGTCTGGATGACAGCACATCTGTTTACAGTATGGTTTACTGAATATTTTAAGCTCATGGCTGAGATCTACTGCTCAGAAAAAAGATCCCTTTCAAAATATTACTGCTCATTGACAATGCACCCAGTCACCAAGAGCTCTGATGGAGATGAACAAGGAGATTAATGTTGTTTTCATGTGGCTAACACATCCACTCTACAGACCATGAATCAAGGAGTAATTTTAACTTTCAAGTCTTACTATGTAAGAAATATTGCTGGGCATGGGGGCTCACGCCTGTAATCCCAGCACTTTGGGAAGCCGAGGCAGGTGGATCACCTAAGGTCAAGAGTTCGAGACCAGTCTGACCAACATGGTGAAACCCCGTCTCTACTAAAAATACAAAATTAGGCTTGGCAGCACATGCCCGTAATCCCAGCTACATGGGAGGGTGAGGCAGGAGAATAGCCTGAACCTGGGAGGGGGAGGTGGCAGTGAGCCAAGATCATGCCACTGCGCTCCAGCCTGGGCAACGAGAGCAAAACTCAGTCTCCAAAAAAAAAAAAAAAAAAAAGAAAAAAGAAATATTAATATATTTCAGGCCAAGCATGGTGGCTCACAAAAGTAATTCCAGTGCTTTCGAGGCCAACGTGGGAGGATCACTTGAGCCCAGGAGTTTGAGACTGGCCTGGGCAACACAGTAAGACCCTGTCTCTCTCTCTTTTTTTTTATGTTTTTTTTTGGTTGTTTTTTGTTTGTTTTTGAGACAGAGTCTCACTCTGTTGCCCAGTCTGGAGTGCAGTGGCACAACCTCAGTTCACTGCAACCTCCACCTCCTGGGTTCATGCCATTCTCCTGCCTCAGCCTTCCGTGCAGCTGGGATTACAAACGCCCACCACCACGCCCAGCTAATTTTTTGTATTTTTGCTATAGAGATGGGGTTTCACCGTGTCAGCCAGGATGGTCTCGAACTCCTGACCTCGTGATCCGCCCACCTCAGCCTCCCAAAGTGCTGGGATTACAGGCATGACCACCACGCCCAGCCAAGACCCTGTCTCTATAAAAATAAAAATTTAAAAAACCTCCTGGAAATTATTTACCATTGCAGGAGGAAGTAAAACTATTAACATTTTTCTTTTCTTTTTCTTTTTTTTAAGACGGAGTTTTGCTCTTGTTGCCCAGGCTGGAGTGCAATGGTGCGATCTCAGCTCACCTCCACCTTCCAGGTTCAAGCAATTCTCCTGCCTCAGTCTCCCGAGTAGCTGGGATTACAGGCATGTGCCACCCCAGGCCCAGCTAATTTTGTATTTTTAGTAGAGAAAGGGTTTCTCCATGTTGGTCAGGCTGGTCTCGCACTCCCGACCTCAGGTGATCTGCCTGCCTCGGCTTCCCAAATTGCTGGGATTACAGGCATGAGCCACCACGCCCGGCCTAAAACTATCAACACTAACAGGAATTTGAAAGAAGTTGATTATAACTTTCATACATGACCTTTGACAGGTTCAAGGTTTCAATGGAGGAAATGACTGCAAAAGTGGTAGAAACAGCAAGAAAACTACAATTAGAAGGGAGCCTGGGCAAGGCACAGCTGGGATCCCAGCACTGTAATCCCAGCACTTTGGGAGGCTGAGACAGGAGGATCACTTGAGCCCAGGAGTTCGAGACCAACCTGGACAACAAAGTGAGACCCTATCTCTACAGAAAATAAAAAAAAAAATTAGTTGGGCACGGTGGCATGCACCTCACTCAGGAGAGTGAGGTGAGGGGATCGCATGAGCCCAGGAGTTTGAGGCTACAATGAGCTACGATCATGCCACTGCACTCCAGCTTGGGTGACAGACCACAACTGAGTCTCTTTAAAAAACAAACAAAAAACAAAAATTTGAATGGATAAGGAGTTGCTTCTTATGGATGAGCAAAGAAAGTGGTTTCTTGAGATGGAATCTACTCCTGGTAAGATGCTGTGAACACTGTTGAAATGACACCAGAAGATTTAGAATATTCCATAAACTTGAGTTGACAAAGCAGCAGGGTTTGAAAGAAATGACACCAATGTTGAAAGCAGTTCTACTGTGGATAAAATGGTATTAAACAGTACCGCATGCTATATGAAAATCTTTCATGAAAGGAGAGTCAATCCATGTGGCAAACTTCATCATCTTATTTTAAGAAACTGCCAGGTTGGGCAGGCGCAGTGGCTCATGCCTGTAATCTCAAAAAAAAAAAAAAATTGCCAGGTTACCCCAACCTTCAGCAACCACCACACTAATGGGTGAGCAGTCATCCACATGGAGGCAAGACACTCTACCAGCTAAAAGATAATGACTTGCTGAAGGCTCAGATGATTGTTAGTACTTTTTAGCAAGAAAGTGTTTTTTATTTAAGATGTATTCATTGTTTTCTTAGACATAATCCTATTGCACTTAATAGACTACAGCATAATGTAAACATAACTTTTATTTTATTATTATTATTATTTTTTTGAGACAGACTCTTGCTCTGTCGTCCAGGCTGGAGTGGAGTGGCGTGATCTCGGTTCATTACAACCTCTGCCTCCTGAGTTCAAGCGATTCTACTGCCTCAGCCTCCTGAGTAGCTGGGATTACAGGCGCGTACCACCATGCCCAGCTACTTTTTGTATTTTTAGTAGAGACAAGGTTTCACCATGTTGACCAGGCTGGTCTCAAACTCCTGACTTCAAGCAATCCTCCCGCCTCAGCCTTCCAGAGTGCTTGGATTACAGGCGTGAGCCACTGCGTCTGGCCTAAACATAACTTTTATATACACTGGGAAACCAAAAAATTTGTGTGACTTGCTTTATTGCAATATTTGCTTTATTGTGGTGGTCTGGAATGGAACATACAAAATCTCTGAGGTATGTCTATACTTTAGAAAAGTACACAGTAAGGCAGTGGCTTGTGTGTGTAATCCCAGTGACACAAGAGGATCATTGGAGGCTGAGAGTTTGAGACCATCCTGGGAGACTCATCTCTAAAAAAAAATTTGTTTTTTTTTTTTTTTTTTTAGACAGTCTGTCACCCAGGCTGGAGTGCAGTGGCACAGCCTCGGCTCACTGCAAGCCTCCCAGGTTCAAGTGATTCTCATGCCTCAGCCTTCCAAGTAGCTGAGATTACAGGTGTTCGCCACCATACTCGGCTAATTTTTGTATTTTTAGTAGAGACGAGGTTTCTCCATGTTGGCCAGGCTAGTCTTGAACTCCTGACCTCAAGTGATCCGCCCACCTTGGCCTCCCAAAGTGCTGGGATTACAGGCGTGAGCCACTGCACCCAGCCTAAAAAAGTTAAAAAAAAAAGGCATGGTGACTGAAGTGGGAAGATCATTTGAGCCCAGGAGTTTGAGGCTGCAGTGAGCTATGATTGCGCCACTCTACTCCAGCCTGGGTGACAGAGCAAGACCCTGTCTCTTAAGTACACATAGCAAGATATACACATTTAAGTTGATATACTACAGTATTCTAAGTTTTGAGATATATTCACGTGCACTGATAGTATATGACAAAACAACAAAATTCAATAACCTAGAGCTAGAGTTTGGGGTGCCATCATTACCTTGGCTCCTTGAATTGACAATTATACAAACAGCTGAAAGTAAGTCAAATAATTTCCCCTTACTATACATTAATGATTCAAGAAAGAAACTGACCCATCAGAGGTTGTGAGAAACCAGAACCCAGATACCTGAATGTCTGAGGTAAGTCTTTCCTAATAGATAGCTTGAGAATTCTGACCAATCTATCCACGGCTACTCTTTGTCTTTACTAATCTATAAACCTCAACTTTATGCACTCACAACCATGCCTCCCTCAAAATCCAATGTAAAATGGACGAACTTTGAAAACATTATGCGAGTAAAATAAACCAGACACAAAAGGATAAATATTGTATGGTTCCACATATATGAGGTACCTAGAGATAGAAAGTATAATAGAGGGCTGAGCATGGTGGCAAGTGCCTATAATTCTAGCTACTTGGGAGGCTGGTGTGGGAGGAATGCTTGAGTGTCAGGAGTTGAAGACTAGCCTAGGCAACAGAGTAAGATGCCCTTATCTCAAAAACAACAACAACAAAAACAAACAAAAAACCCCAAAAACAAAACAAACAAAAAAAAAAACACAGTAGAATAGAGGTTTCCAGCTAAGGTAGGGGTGGGGAGTGAGGGGTGATTGTTTAATGGGAACAGAGTCTCTGGGATGAAGAAAAAGTTCTGCAAGTAGATAGTGGTGATGGTTGCAAAACAATGTGAATGTACTTAAATCCACTGAATTATATACTTACAAATGGTTAAGATGGTAAATTTCATGTTACATATATTTTACCACAACAAAATTGCAAAAACAAAATCCAACATAACTGATTACGGAAGGGTACACGTGATCTTTTTAGGGTGATCGGAAATGTTCTTCTAAAACAGACTGTTGTGATGGTTGCACAACTTTGTAAATATACTAAAAAAAAATTCTACAGTTAAATTATGTCCCCTATTATAAAACTGTAAAAATAATATTCACTGAAAACTTATCACATAAATATTCCTCTGCAAAAAAAAGAAAATTTTGTAAAATGAATGTTGCATATTGCCTTTTAATGCCTAACCAATCTTTTTTTGTTTCTTCTGTGATCCTAATAATAACAAATACTATTTCTTAACCACCCACTTAAATCCAAACATGCTATTGGACACTTTATCACGTATTCTTACTTATATATTTTTTTTCTCCATTCCAGTTGGAGAAGAAACTTACTTAAATCTTTTCAACAAGCTACTAAGTAGGTAGTATTGTTTCTACTTCACAGGTGGGAAGAGATGTATCCCAACTGCAAAGCTTTAGAAAGTAAATCTGGAATTACAACACAGGTCTAGCTCATTTCCAAAATCTATTACACAGTACAACACCCTTCTCAGAGCCAGACATCTTAAGAAGCAAGTACTGTGTATTCATGTATCTGCACATCTATCCATCCATCCACCCCACAAATATTAATCATACACTATGTGTCAAAGTCAGACATTAGGAGTAAAGATTTTTGGAAAACGACTAGATTACTGTTTTCCAGAATTTCATTCCAATAGAAAGATGTGCATATAACAAAAATACATAATTGGATGTTTACATGAACTCATTTTCTCTGCCTTTTTTTTTGTTTTGAGATGGAGTTTTTGCTCTGTTGCCCAGGCTGGAGTGCAATGGCACAATCTCAGCTCACTGCAAAGAGACGCGCCCTGCCTCTTTTTTTTTCCCCCTTTTTTGAGTCTCACTCTGTCATCCAGTCTGGAGTACAGTGGTGCAATCATGGCTCACTGAAGCCTGGGCCCCCGGGTTCAAGCGACTCTCATGCCTCGGCCTCCTGAGTAGCTGGAACTACAGATGCGAGCCACCATGTGCATATTTTCTCTTTTACATTCAGAGGAAGAAAATAGAATTGATAGGAGTTGGTGACTTAGATTTGGGGTCAGAGAAAAGGATTATTTCCTGGCTTCAGCTTTTGCCTTTGGGTGAATTTTCTCTTTACTGAAATGTGAGGATGAAAAGCAGTATATAAGAAGGCAGAGGCTGGACACAGTGGCTCACGCCTGTAATCCTAACACTTTGGGAGGCCAAGGATGGCAGATCATTTGAGGCTGGGAGTTCGAGATCAGCCTGGCCAGCATGGCAAAAGCTTGTCTCTACTAAAAATACAAAAATTGCCGGGTGTGGTGGTGCATGCCTGTAATCCCAGCTACTCAGGTGGCTGAGGCATGAGAATCACTTGAACCTGGGAGGCAGAGGTTGCAGTGAACTGAGATCAGGTCACTTCACTCCAGCCTGGGTGACAGAACGAGACCCTGTCTCAAAAAAAAAAAAAAAAAAAAAAAAAAGAAAGTTTAAGGAAGAGAGTAGTTGTGTCAAACAACTAGAGCAGAAAAAGAAAAATGTCCAACTTTAAACTTGCTGTTGGACTCCTATAAGAAACAAGAATGCCAAATGAAATAGCTCTACATTCATGCTTGTAAAGTTTCTGACAACATTAAACCAAAACCTGGATTTGCAGCAAAGACTTAAGAGGATCCTGAGAGGCAGACAGAGGATAGGGGAATGAAGAGGGTGAACAAAATAAATTAACATATATAGGAGTACCTGGTCTTCACAAGGCAATGTACAAGGCCCTTTATATTTGTTCTTTGTTCTTCCATCACATCAGAGAACAGAAAAATCTAAATTGTTAGCTAGGTTGGAAAACCTCTAATTCTCAAAAATGATGAAAGTGAAGCCTATAGTTATATAATGTAACTTAAAAGTTTAAAGTAGTAATAGTCTAAAAGATCATAAGATGGTTATGTTACTTATGAAAAGTTATCAGTATTTATAATGAAGGAGACAACAGTCCTAGTATTTAACACATAAAAAGTAAGTTTAAAAAACTGTTTTGAAGGCTGGGTGCAGTGGCTCACACCTGTAATCCCAGCATTTTGGGAGGCCAAAGCAGGCAGATCACTTGAGGTTAGGAGTTTGAAACCAGCCTGACTAACATGGTGAGACCCCATCTCTACTAAAAACACAAAAAATTAGCTGGGCTGGTGGCAGGTGCGTGCCTGTAATCCCAGCTGGTTGGGAGGCTGAGGCAGGAGAATCACTTGAACCTGGGAGGCAGAGGTTGCAGTGAGCTGAGATCATGCCATTGCACCCTAGACCTGGCGACAAAGCGAGATTCTGTCTCAAACAAAAAGCTGTTTTGGTTTTAAAATCCTAAGTAGAAATGAAAATACTTTCTTTTTTTTTTTTTTTTTTTTTTTGAGACGGAGTCTCACTCTTGTTGCCCAGGCTGGAGTGCAATGGCACGATCTTGTCTCACTGCTACCTCCGCCTCCCAGGTTCAAGCGATTCTCCTGCCTCAGCCTCCTGAGTAGCTGGGATTACAGGCACCTGCCATCACGCCCGGCTAATTTTTTGTATTTTTAGTAGAGACGGGGGTTTCACCATGTTGTCCAGGCTGGTCTTGAACTCCTGACCTCAGGTGATCCACCTGCCTCGGCCTCCCAAAGTGCTGGGGTTACAGGCATGAGCCACTGCGCCCTGCTGAAAATACTTATTTTTTTTTTAGGTGGAGTTTTGCTCTTGTTGCCCAGGCTGGAGTGCAATGGCGCGATCTCGGCTCACCGCAACCTCCGCCTCCTGGGTTCAAGCAATTCTCCTGCCTCAGCCTCCCGAGTAGCTAGGATTACAGGCATGCGCCACCACGCCTAGCTAATTTTGTATTTTTAGTAGAGACAGGGTTTCTCTGTGTTGGTGAAGCTGGTCTCGAACTCCCGACCTCAGGTGATCCACCCGCCTCAGCCTCCCAAAGTGCTGAGACTACAGGTGTGAGCCACTGGGCCCAGCCGAAAATACATTCTTAAAAAAATACTTTCATAAGTTCTAGTTTATCTTTTTAAAATCTAAAAACTTTGAAGTAAATATTAATAAGCAGAAAATTTTCATTTTTATGTTTCCACTATTTTTTCTGATTTGTCTCAAATGGTCACAGAGAATTTTACTGTGCACACTGAAGAGATTGTTCTTATTATAAAATATTTCAAAGATGGAGATAGGCCGGGCACGGTGGCTCACGCCTGTAATCCCAGCACTCTGGGAGGCCGAGGAGAGCGGATCATGTGGTCAGGCGATCAAGACCATCCTGGCTGACACGGTGAAACCCCGTCTCTACTAAAAATAGAAAAAGTTAGCCGGGCGTGGTGGCATGTGCCTGTAGTCTGAGCTACTCAGGAAGCTGAAGCAGGAGAATGGCGTGAACCCAGGAGGCCGAGGTTGCAGTGAACCGAGATCAGGCCACTGCACTCCAGCCTGGGTGACAGAGGAAGACTCCGTCTCAAAAAAAAAAAAAAAAAGAAAAAAAGAAAAAAAAAGATGGAGATAAAGAAGATCTCATGTACCCTTTATCTAGTTTCCCCCAATGGTAACATCTTGCAAAACTATAGTACCATATCACCAGCAGGATATCAACATTGATACAATAAGCAGATCTTCAGATTTCCCATTTTATTAGTATTCATTTGTATGTACTTAGTTCTACACAATTTTGTCACATTTGTAAGTTCATGTATCCATCATCACAGTTAAGAAACAGCACCGTTCCATCACCTCAAGGAGCCCTCGTGTTAACTGTTTTATAACAACATCTACCCTATCCCCTCCCATCTCCTGCCACATTCATTCCTAACTCCTAGAAGCCACTAATCTGTTCTCCATTTCTAAAATGTTTGCTTTTCAAACTATTATAAAGTTGGAATCATAGAGTATGTAACTTTTAGGACTGGCCTTTTTCACTTAGGATAATTTCACTGAGATTCATCGAAGTGGCTGCAAGTACCAACAGTTTATTCCTTTTTATTGCTGAGTAGTATTCCATGGTATGGATGTACCATGGTTTATTTACTCACTGAAGGACATCTGAGTTGTTTTCCGTTTTTGGCTATTAGGAATACAGCTGCTATGAACATTCATGGGAAAGTTTTTGTAGAAAAGTTTTCATTTATCTGGGATAAATGCCTAAGTGTGCAACTGCTGAGTCATATGGTAAGTGAATGTTCGGTTTTATAAGAAACTGCCAATCTGTTTTCCAGAGTAGCTATACCATCATATATTCCCAGATGCAATGTATGAGAAATCCAGGTTTTTCACACCCTCACCAGCATTTGGTGGTGTCATTTTTATTACTGTTATTTAATAGATGGGGTCTCACTATGTTACCCAGGCTGGAGTGCAGTGGCTATTCATAGGCACCATCTTAACAATCTGCAGCCTCAAATTCCTGGCCTCATTCCATCCTCCTACCTCAGCCACTAGAGGAGAAGCGACTTGAAGTGTGTGCCACTGCACCTGGCTGGTGTCATTATTTCTTACTTAAGCCATTTGGATAGGTGTGTGGTAATATTTCATTGTGGTTTCAATTTTCATTTCCCTAATGGCTAATGATGTTCTTTTTACATGTTTATTTGCCATCTGTAATTCTCTTCTGTGAAACTTCTGTTCATGTCTTTTGCTCATTTCCTAACCGAGCTCTTTGCTGTTCCTTTTTACTGTTGAGTTTTGAGAGTTCTTTATGTATTTTAGATACTAGTTGTTAGTCATCTATGTGGTCTCCTATTTTTAGTGAGACAAAACATTAGATAAATCTGAAGCACTGTGTAACTTCACTCTCAACCCTTTCTCGCCCTCTCTCCTCCTTCAGATGTTGTTTCCATTCTCATAAATATTAAATAAGTTTATTGCATATACATGTAATCATTAATAATATATAGCATAGTTTGTATATTTTTAGAAATTATCACTTCTGTACTGTTCTTCATTTTTCTTTCCAATATTGTTTTTGCTTTTGTTTTTTAAAATTTTATGTATGTATGTATGTATGTATGTATGAGATGGAGTTTCACTCGTTGCCCAGGCTGGAGTGCAATGGCACAATCTCGGCTCACTGCAGCCTCCGCCTCCCGGGTTCAAGCAATTCTCCTACCTCAACCTCCGGAGTAGCTGGGATTACAGGCGCCTGCCACCACTCCTGGCTAATTTTTTTGTATTTTTAGTAGAGACAGGGTTTCACCATGTTGGTCAGGGTGGTCTTAAACTCCTGACCTCAGGTGATCTGCCCGCCTCGGCCTCCCAAAGTGCTGGGATTACAGGCGTGAGCCACCTCGCCCAGCCTTTTTTTTTTTTTTTTTTGAGACAGAGTCTCGCTGTCGCCCAGGCTGGAGTGCAGTGGACCATGTCGGCTCACTGCAACCTCCGCTTCCTGGGCTCAAGTGATCCTCCCGCCTCAGCCTCCCAAGTAGCTAGGATTATAGGCTCACGCTGCCATGCCAGGCTAATTTTTGCCACTGTGCCTGGCATTTTTTTTTTTAAGAGACAGTATCTCACTCTGTTGCCCAGGCTGGAATGCAGTGGTGTGATCATGTCTCACTGTAACCTTGACCTCCTGGGCTCAAGCAATCCTCCCACCTCAGCCTCCCAAGCAGCTAGGACTACAGGTGCACACCACCACACTTGGCTAATATATGGGGTCTCACTATGTTACCCAGGCTGGAGTGCAGTGGCTATTCACAGGCACCATCTTAGCAATCTGCAGCCTCAAATTCCTGGCCTCATTGCACCCTCCTACCTCAGCCACTAGAGGAGAAGCGACATTTACAAAAAAAAAAGTTATTTGTAAAGATGGGGTTTTGTCATGTTGCCCAGGTTAGTCTTGAACTCCTGGCCTCACACGATCCTCCTGCCTTGGCTTCCCAAAGCACCAGGATTACAGGTATGAGGCACCATGCCCAGCCTTCAATTTTTTATATTTAAAATTTGTCCAAGTAACTGCATAAAGCTCTACTTCATTTGTTTTAACTGCTGTGTAGAATCCCACAGCAGGAATATACAATTAGTTATCCATTCTCCACCTCAACATTTAGGGATCAATTTGTTGATGTTAAAACCAATGCTGCAATTTCCACTTCTGGTCAAGATGATTCAACAGAGACCAGAGATTTACCCTCTCACCTAAAAGAACCACCACCACCACCAAAAAAAAAAAAAAAAAACCCAAACAAAAACCATAAAAACAAGGGTTTTGAAAACAATGGACATCAGGCAACAATGGACAGTGATCCCAGAGTGACAAGAAGCAAATGAAGTGAGCTCTACAACTGGCCTGGCTTATTGCCTTAAGAGAGTTTCCAGGACATGATGCAGGAGGGGAGGGAGATTGAGGCACAGCCTGAGAAACTCCTGAGTTGAAGAGATGGAGCAGAGAACATAATGAGATAATGGCAGCCAGATTTCAAAGGACAGAGTATCACAGCAGAGAAAGCTGCAGAGAAAGTCTCAGAAGCCCAGAGATCTGCAAAATGATCCCCTCAAATACTGAGGATATCAGAGTGCTGATCAGCACATGTGACTGAGGAAACTATCCAAGACTGGGGGAAAAAAAAACATATGAAAGGAATGGAGCAAGCACTACCCAGAACTCACATGGGGCCAGGAATAGTGCCTGTTCTTAGTAGCCAGATTAGAAAAACTCAATTTATGGGGTATCGGGTAGAGTGCACAGGAAAGTCCTACCTTAGCACTAGGGAATTTTTAGCCCTAAACTAAGTACTGCTTAGTTTAAGTACTGGCCTAACAAATTATAAAAAAAAAAAAAAAAAGCAAAGTTGACAAATACAATAACTGAATTGCAAATCAACCCTCAAGATTTATAGGAATAAAAATAATCCAGCACCCAAAAATATAAAATTCACAATATCTGGAATTTGATTAAAGATTAACAGGCTTGGAATACTATGCAGCCATAAAAAATGATGAGTTCATATCCTTTGTAGGGACATGGATGAAATTGGAAATCATCATTCTCAGTAAACTATCGCAAGAACAAAAAACCAAACACCGTATATTCTCACTCATAGGTGGGAATTGAACAATGAGATCACATGGACACACGAAAGGGAATACCACACTCTGGGGACTGTGGTGGGGTGGGGGGAGGGGGGAGGGATAGCATTGGGAGATATACCTAAGGCTAGATGACGAGTTAGTGGGTGCAGCCCACCAGCATGGCACATGTATACATATGTAACTAACCTGCACAATGTGCACATGTACCCTAAAACTTAAAGTATAATAAAAAAAAAAAAGATTAACAGGCTTGCAAAGAGGCAAGAAAACATGACCCCTAATGAGAAGAATAATCAATCAGAAGAAATCTATTTACCCAGAACTAATTCTGTTAGAATTAAAATGACTTTAAAACAGATATTAATATTGTAACTGCATTCCATATTTTCAAAAAGTTACGCAGAGAAATGGAAGATGTACAAAAAGACTCAAATCAAACTTCTAGAGATGAAAACCAGTGTCTGAGATGAAAACTACAATGGATATAACAATAGTGTGGTACTGGCTTAAAGACAGATATGTGATCAATGGAAAAAAACTCAGAAATACACCCTAATATTTACGGTCAATTGATTTTTCAACAAGGGTGCCAAGACAGTTCAATGAGAATTGCTCAAGCACAGGAGGCTGAGGCTGCAGTGAGCCTGATCAAGCCACTGAACTCCTGCCTGGACAACAGAGCCAGACCCTGTATCAGTAAAAAAAAGAAAAAAAAAAAAATTCCAGCCTATGCAAAATAGTGATAGCCTGTCTCTACCATTAATTTAAAACATTAGGCTGGGCGTGGTGGTGGCTCACACCTATAATCCCAGCACTTTGGGAGGCTGAGACGGGTGGATCCCATGAGCTCAGGAGTTCAAGACCAGCCTGGGCAACATGACAAAACCCCACATTTATAAAATATAAAAAATTAGCCAGGTGTGGTAGTGCACGCCTACAGTTCCAGCTACTTTGGCGGGGGGCTGCAAGGGGGGGTGAGGTGGGAGGACTGCTTGAGCCTGGGAGGTTGAGGCTGCAGTGAGCAATTGCACCACTGCACTCAAGCCTGGGTGACAGAGCAAGACTCTATCTCAAAAAAATAAATAAATAAATAAATAAAAATTACCAGGCATGGTGGCATGCGTCCACAGTTCCAGCTACTCAGGAAGCTGAGGTGGAAGGATTGTTTAAGCTCTGGTGTTTGAGACTGCAGTTTACCATGATTGCACCATTGTACTCCACTGGATAATAGAGCAAGACACTATCTCTATAAACTACCGCCCCCCCCCCGCCCCAAAACTGTTCCCTTAATAACTTTTTTTGCCTTAAAGTTTGTCTTATATTAGTATGGTGACATTAACTTTCTGGTTAATATTTACCTACAACATTTTTTTCGTTGTTAATTTCAATTTCTACACCTTTATGTTTTCGACAGTATTTATCTGAATTTGTTTTTCCATTAAACCATTTCTAAAAAACTGACTAGTTTACACTTCTCATGATCACTAACATATTTAGTTTTATTTCTACCATCTTCTGTTCTATTTACCTTGCTTGTTCTGTGCTTCCTTCTTGCTATGTTTGTTTTGAGACAGTCTCACTCTGTCACCCAGGCTGGGGTGCAGTGGTGTGAACCTGACTCACTGCAACCTCTGCCTCCGAGGTTCAAGTGATTCTTCTGCCTCAGCCTCCAAAGTAGCTGGGATTACAGGTGTGTGCCACCAGTGCCCAGCTAATCTTTTTGTATTTTTTTTGTAGAGATGGGGTTTCACCATATTGGCCACGCTGGACTCGAACTCCTGGCCTCAAGTGATCCTCCCATCTCAGCCTCCTAAAGTGCTAGGATTACAGGCATTAGCCACCGTGTCCAACCCCTTCTTGTTCTTTGCGTTCTTTTTTTTTTTTTTTTTTTTTTGAGATGGAGTCTCACTCTGTCGCCCAGGCTGGAATGCAGTCGCGCGATCTCGGCTCACTGCAATCTCCGCCTCCTGGGTTCAAGCAATTCTCTGCCTCAGCCTCCCGAGTAGCTGGGATTACAGGCATCCGCCACCACTCCTGGCTAATTTTTGTATTTTTAGTAGAGACGGGGTTTCACCAGGTTGGCCAGGCTGGTCTCGAACTTCTGACCTCGTGATCCACCTGCTGCGGCCTCCCCAAGTGCTGGGATTACAGGCGTGAGCCACCGCACCTGGCCCTTCTTGCTCTTTTATGCCTTCTATTAAATTCTTATTTTTTATTTCAGTCCTATCTCATTTTTAGTTCCAACGAATTAGTCATGATTAGTGTGTTACATACAGTCAAAGCTATTTTATTTTATTTTGACGGAGTATTGCTCTGTCACCCAGGTTGGAGTGCGATGGCACAATCTCCTGGCTCACTGCAACCTCTGCTTCCTGGTTTTAAGTGATTCTTGTGCCTCAGCCTCCCAAGTAACTGAGCCTACAGACGTGCACCACCACACCTGGCTAGTTTTTGTATTTTTAGTGGAGACAGGGTTTCGCCATGTTGGCCAGGCTGGTCTTGAACTCCTGGCCTCAAGTGATCCGCCTGCCTCAGCCTCCCAAAGTGCTGGGATTACAGGTCTGACCTACTGTGCCTGGCCTGGAACTTCTATTTTTAATGTCAGTATTTTTGCAACATTGTACTTAATTATTGTATTTAGTCCCTGACCTCTGAATGCTTACAGCTGAGAAACTAGACACACTTCTGTAGATAAGTAAAAAAGACCACATCTTTTTGAGATGGAGTCTCCCTCTATCACCCAGCCTGAAGCGCACTGGTAAAATCATAGCTTACTGCAGCCTCACTCCTGAACTCAAGTGATCCTCCTCTTTAGGCCTCCCAAAGCACTGAGATTACAGGCATGAATCACTGAGCCCGGCCTAATTTTCATTCCTTCACAGTAATCTATTTGGCTGCTTTCATAAGATCTTTGTCTTTAGTGTTATTCTTTCAGGATTCACTATTTTTTTTTTCCTTGAAGATTCATATACTTAGAAATTCTGTGAAATTTTCTGCTATTATCTCTTTGAATGTTGCTACTCTCCATTTTCTCTACCCTTCCCTAGAACTCCTATGAGATATATCTTGGACCATCTCATTCTACTGTCCATGTCTCATCTCTTTTTTTCATATTTTCCATTTTTAATATATCTATGCTGCATTCTGTGTAATTTCTATTGTTCCTAATTTTCAACTGTGTTGGATATACTGTTTAACTTATATAACGAGTTAATTTGACTGATCTGCTCCAAAGCAGATCAACTTTGGATGCATATTAGAATCATCTGAGTAACTGTAAAACAAACAAACATACTGATACCATGGTCCAATTCCCAAAGATTTGATTTAATCAGTCTGCCATTGAACTCATGCAGCTATCCTTTAATAAATTCCCCAGTTAGTTCTATTATTTAGCCAGTGTTGAGAATCATCCCCTCACCATACCAACTTGGTATAGTATTTCTTACACCTTAGAAAATTCTTCCCATGACTTCCTGTCGTATTCCAGTCACTGCCCCATGTCCCTGAACCCTTCTACAGCAAAATTCCTCAAGAGTTACCTATACTCATTGTCTCTTTCTTCTGGCTTAAAACCACTTCAGTTCAGGTTTTATTCCCTCAATATAAAGAGATTATTTTTTCCAGGTCACTAATTACCTTCATGTTGCCAAGTCCAATAATTATTTACCAATCCTTATCTTATTTGAACTTTCAGCAGCATTTTATCAACTCAATCTTCCTTCCTTCTTGAACTGCTTTCTTCACTTGGCTTTTGGGACTTCACATCTCTGGGTCTTATTCTACACTCATGATCCTTTATTCTTAGTCTTCACTAGTTTCTACTCATCTTTCCACCTTCTAACTGTAAAAATGAAGTGTTCCCATGGTTTTAAATAGCATTTATATACTAATTCTCAAATTGATATTCCTAGCTGTCATTCTCCTCCGAAACTCTCTTCATGTAGTCAATTGCCTAACATCTCCATTTGGGTGTTGTCTTAGTCCATTATGCATGGTGGCTAACGCCTGTACTTCAAGCACTTTGGGAGGCCGAGGCGGGTGGATCATGAGGTCAGGAGTTCAAGAACAGCCTGGTCAAGATGGTGAAACCCCGTCCCTACTGAAAGTACAAAAAAATTAGCCAGGTGTGGTGGTGGGTGCCTGTAATCCCAGCTACTCAGAAGGCTGAGGCAGAGAACTGCTTGAACCCGGGAGGCAGAGGTTGCAGTGAGCCAATATCGCGCCACTGCACTCTGGCCTGGGCAACAGCGAGACTCATCTCAAAACAAAGCAAAAAACAAACAAACCCCCCCCCTCCCCCAGACTGGGTAATTTATATAGGGGTATGTGGGTGTGTGTGTTCTGTTTTGTTTTGTTTAGAGATGGAGTCTCTCCATGTTGCCAAACTCCTTGAGCTCAAATGATCCTCCCACCTCAGCATCCCAGGTAGCTGGGGCTATGGGTGTATGTCACCGTACCCAGCTTTGGGCACTTTATAATGACCAGAAGTTTATTGGCTATTTATTGGCACACAGTTCCAGAAGTTGGGAAGCCTAACATCAAGGTACTGGCATGTGGTGAAGACCTTCTTGCCATCTAATAACATAGCAGATGGCAAAGAGAGGGTGCCCTTTTATAACAACATTAATCCCACCCATGAGGGTAAAGCCCTAACAACTTAATCACTTCTTAAAGGTCCCACTTCTTAATATTATTACAATGTCAATTAAATTTCAACATGAATTTTGGAGGGACAAACATTCACAAGATAGCAGATATCTAACAGGCATTTTATAATCTTATGTCCAAAATTGTTTCTTCCCCTACTGTTACACATCTTAGCAAATGACACCACTATTCAAACCAAACACTTGGAGTCATTCTTAGTTCCTCTTTCTCATACCCACATGCATTCTATCTGTAAACTCTATCAGCATTACCTTCCAAATATATTTTAAATTTGACCTTGTTTTTTCTTTTTTTGAGACAGTTTCACTCTTTCACCCAGGCTGCAGTACAGTGGCGTGATCTTGGCTCACTGCAACCCCCTCCTTCCGGTTTCAAGCGATTCTCCTGCCTCAGCCTCCTGAGTAGCTGGGATTACAGACATGTGCCACCTCACCCAGCTAATGTTTTGTATTTTTAGCAGAGGTTAGGTCTCACCATGTTGGCCAGGCTGGTCTTGAACTCCTGACCTCAGGTGATCCGCCTGGCTTGGCCTCCCAAAGTGCTGGGATTACAGGCATGAGCTACCATGCCTGGCTGTATTTAATCCTTTTAAATGCACTTATTCTATGGTCTATAGTCAATGAACTGGAGATCTAGTCCTGAGAGGTAGTGTATCTGTGACTCTTATTCATGGTAAATGAGCTGTTTTCTTATTTTTTGTCACTTTTGATTATGAGCCTTGTCACAATCAAGTGGGTTATTCAGTGGGATTTTATCTGTTAGAATCCTGTGTGGCTTAAACTGTGGATCTGTTCCTCCAGAGTAGCTTTACATATGCTTCCGCTGGTTACCCCAAGGGTATTATACAGGGTCCTGAATAATTTTTTTATATTCATTTCCCAGTTTGGGGATCTCAGACCAAGCTGGTGATAATAATTTAAACCCACACAAATAAGCCCATACTTAATTATTTTTCCTTTTTAGGACAGAGTCTCACTCTGTTGCCCAGGCTGCAATGCAGTGGCACAAACTTGGCTCACTGCAGCCTTCACCTCCCGGGTTCAAGTGATCCTCCTGCCTCAGCCTCCTGAGTAGCTGGGATTACAGGCATCCGCCACCATACCCAGCTAATTTTTGTATTTTCAGTAGAGACCAGGTATCACTATGTTGGCGAGGGTGGTCTCGAACTCCTGACCTCAAGTGATCCGCCCACATCAGCCTCCCAAAATGCTGGGATTACAGGTGTGAGCCACTGCGCTCAGCCTAATAAGCCCATACTTAATTTTTAAAAAATTGTTTGTTGGCCAGGTGCGGTGGCTCACACCTGTAATCCCAGCACTTTGGGAGGCCTACGCAGGCGGATTGCTTGAGGTGAAGGAGTTTGAGACCAGCCTGGCCAACATAGTGAAACTTCGTCTCTACTAAATAAACAAAAATTAGCCAGGCGTGGTGGTGTGCGCCTATAATCTCAGCTACTCAGGAGGCTGCGGCAGGAGAATCGCTTGAACCTAGGAGGCGGAGGTTGCAGTGAGCCGGGAACGCGCCACTACACTACAGCCTGGGTGACAGAGCAAGACTCCACCTCAAAAAAAAAAAAGTTTTTTTTTGTTTTATTGTGGTAAAAACACTTAACACAAGATCTACCCTCTTAACAAATTTTCAAGTGTACAATACATTAATGTTGACTATAGGTACAGTGTTGTATGGCAGATCTCTAGAGCTTTTTCCCGTTTGACATTAATTTTACATACATTGTTTAGCAACTCCCCAATTTCTCCTCCCCCTCAGCCTTTGGCAACCACCATTTGACTCTGTCAACCTATGAATCTGACTAGATACCTCACATAAGTAGACTCACATAGTTATTTATCTTTCTGTGACTGTATTATTTCCCTTAGCATAATGTCCTCAAGCTTCATCCATGTTGTCACTCTTTGGGATCCTGATTTTATTTTGGATAAATATCTAGAAGCATGATTGCTAGACCATCTGGTAGTTCTATATTTAATATGTCAAGGAACCTCCATACTGTTTTCCATAGTGGCCGCTTGTACCATTTTGCATTCCCACCAACAGTGTGCAAGGGTTCCAATTTCTTCACTCCCTTGCCACTTAAAAAAAATAGCCATCTTGACATTGACAGGTGTGAAGTGATGATATTTCATTGTGGTTTTGATGTGTACTTCTCTGATGATTAGCAATGTTGAGCAATTTTTCATATACTTGGCCACTTTTATGTCTTCTTTGGAGAATGTCTATTCAGGTCCTTTGTCCATTTTTTTTTTAATCTTACAGTGAATTATATTGAATTCAAAGGTAGTATTCCTATTTGAGAAATAAAAAACTAAAATCAAGTTGTACAAGCAATCATCATGAGATAAATCAGTAAAGAGGCCTGCTCAGATCATACCAGAGCAGACACCAGTTTCTACCCCAGCCCGCATGAAGATGTTTTTATTCAACACAAACAGTAACAGAGGGTAACACAATGGCCACAGAATGAGAACATAAGTGCACTTGAATTTTTTGTGAGTTCTGGCTAGGCTCTAACAAGCCTAGCATTCTTTTCTTACCAGGTGAACAGAAATCATCTGCTAAAGCCAGAAACTTTAAAGCTCTTAATCCAGCTGGAAATAACTATAATTGAGGGCCTTTTTACTAGCTACTTGCTTCCCAATTTAGGGTTGCCTAGCAGGGTTAATTTCAACATAACGAAAGGTGTTAACTGGCTGGCCGCATCATTCACTGGTGACAGGGGCAAGTTTAATGAGTTTTGTGCTCAGATCGCTGGGCCTCCTGGCTGCTCTTGTCCATCTCTGCACTTTGGTCCTAAGCATTCTGAGACTCAGTCAGTTGAGGGTGAAAGGGACCTACCAGCCAGTTGAGGGGCATGTTGTTAACAAGAAATCCATCAAGTCATCTAAAGATTCCTTCATTTTCTGCAGCTGCCCCTTGCTAGAAGTGGAGGCTGTCAGACACTTCCTCAAAGGAGGCAGCATTGCAGAACACTGAGTAGATGTCGCCTGCCATCACCCTCATATGCTTGGCCTGACCTTGGATGTTCTGTGGTCATCATGGATGTTGGACAGAAGGCCGTGGCATGTGGTCTGGAGCTGCTAAGTCAGGTTGCAGGCAATAGCAAGAGTACGTGACTCGATGTGCTCTGCACAGTGGGACTCATCAGTATCATCGTATCCAATATTCCTTTTCCACTCCACCCATGAGAGCTAGAGCTTATCCTGAGCATCCTGAATTTTCTGATTGGCACTATGCACACTCTTCCTGGCAAATTCAATCAAGTGAACAGAAGAACGGAGCTGAGAAATGGTCTCTTGGCTTTTTTGCTTAGCTTCTTTAACCCTGCTGAGAGCCTGCTCATACGAAGTGAAGCTTGGTAGACAGGGAGTGAAGCTTGGTAGACAGGGATCCCAGTCTAACATAACAACTTGGCTTCTGAACCATATCATATCCTTCAACTTTTTTTGCTTCTTTTTCTAGTTCTTCCCCAGTGAGAGGGAGGTACTGTCCTACCAAGAGCTCTGATTTGGTGAGCGCATGTTCCAAGCCACTGCTCATGAGCTGCATTATCTGACTTCCTAAGCTTGTGTTAATGCTGCCACTGACACAGACTTGGGTCTTCTCCACAGTGCCAGTCACTACCCCTTTGGTCTTGTCCATCAACCCTGTGATGAATCCTTGGCCCCAGTCACAGTAGTCGTCACAGCATCTTTTGCCCCAGTCACAGCACCTTTGGCATTGGCAACAACCTGAGTTGATGGCTGATTCAGAATAGGCAGTCTCTCCTCAATCCTGTCTAGCCCCTTACAGACACGGATATTGGCAACTGCAATTTGCAGCTCTAGCTTCTGGATGATGGGCAGAGCACACTGGTCATGGCCACCGAGGTGATGGTCTTCACACCCTTCCCTGCCATCTCACACACAGACTTCAAGTAGGACACTGGTCCTTTGTACTGACATGGGCTGAGGACATGGGGTCATATGTGGAGCTCATCAAGGGCAGGTTGACCACCCGAGTCATCACACTCAGTTGTGGATCAACTGCAACAGATGCCATTTTTCTTCCTGGAGAAATAAATCAACGGACGGCAGTGAAGCGCCTATTTTTTAATATACATATATTTTTTGCTACTGAGTTGTATGAGTTCCTTACATATGTTGGAGATTAACCCCTTATCAAATATATGGTTCACAAACATTTCCTCACATTTTGTAGATTGCCTTTCCATTCTGCTGTTTGCTGTGCAGAAGCTTTTTAGGTTGATGCAGTTCCACTTGCTTTTGTTGCCTGTGTTTTTGATGTCATATCCACGAAATCATTGCCAAGACCAATGTCATAATGCTTTTTCCCTGTTTTCTTCTTATGAGTTTTATAGTTTCAGGTCTTATGTTTAACTCTTTAATCCATTTTGGGTTGATTTTTGTGTACAGTACAAGATAATTTCATTATTTTGCTGTGGATATCCACTTTTCCCAACAACATTTGTTGGAGGGACTATCCTTGCCCTATTGATCCTTTCCTTATTGTATATTCTTGAGTCCAAACATAAATTTTCAGGAGACATTCCCATCTACCCCCAGCCAGAGCCCAAGCTGAGACACAGAAGTTTCCTTGTTTCCTCAAACTAGTAGATGGAATTTTCTGTGGTCCCTTCCTTTCTCTTGAGTATGAACCTTCAAGGCTCCCTGCTTTATATAGAGATTTGCATTTCTAACTCTGTTCCATACAGGCCTAAGGCTCATGGACATTAAAACGAAGCCTTTAGGCCAGGCACGGTGGCTCACACCTGTAATCCCAGCACTTTGGGAGGCTGAAACGGGCGGATCGTGAGGTCAGGAGATCGAGACCGTCCTGGCTAACATGGTAAAACCCCGTCTCTACTAAAAATACAAAAAAATTAGCTGGGCTTGGTGGTGGGCACCTGTAGTCCCAGCTACTCGGGAGGCTGAGAGAGGAGAATGGTGTGAACCCGGGAGGTGGAGCTTGCAGTGAGCCGAGATCTTGCCACTGCACTCCAGCCTGGGCGACAGAGCAAGACTCCGTCTCAAAAAACAAACAAACAAACAAACAAAAACCAAGCCTTTCAGTAACTGAGACTAGGCAAAGCACCCAGAAATACCACAGCATTAAGTAACATGCATACTGCTCATTTTCAGTTCCTCTTTCATTTGCAGTCCCTGAGAATTTTCCTTAATTCTTTCAGGCTCAACTAGCTATACATTTTTAAAAGTTTGTTTAAAAATTAAAAAATAGTTGTTACATTTCATCCAGCATTACTAGGTGTTTTGTAATGAAATAGCAGAAGTGTTTTAGGTTATATAGTCTATTATACTGCCATTATAAAATATGCTGGTCTGGAAATTTAACATTTATTTTCATAAGAACTAGTTCAGTTCATATAAACAAAATAACTCCACAGACGACTAATTGCAAAAGGAAAAACACATCTTAACAATGGAACAATCTTGCTGTTACCTTACCGTAGGGATCAAACTTTTCACTGCAGGCATTGAGACAATTAACATGGAAACAATCTGACAAATCTACAATGTGGAACATATTTCAAATCAATGAGCACGGTCTCTTCAAAAAAGTTGATATAAAAAAAAAGAGGTGGTGATACAGACTGTTCTAGGTTAAGAGAGACTTACAGACA
Organism: Homo sapiens; assembly: GCF_000001405.40. Taxonomy (NCBI): domain Eukaryota; kingdom Metazoa; phylum Chordata; class Mammalia; order Primates; family Hominidae; genus Homo; species Homo sapiens. The sequence continues at coordinate 171,714 of NW_003315905.1, forward strand.
TAATCAAATATAATGTATAATCTTTGATTGAATCTTGGTTTAAACACAGCTACAAAAGATACTATGGGGAACTGGGTAAATTTTCAAATGGACTAAGTATTAAATAATATTAGGGAATTATTATTAATCTTGTTGGTTATAATGGTATTGTGGTTGAATAGGAGATTGTCCGTATTTTTTTGAAACGTAACTGTAGCATTAGCTTTCTTTTTGTTTTTTTTTTTTGTTGTTGTTGTTTTTGAGACAGAGTCTTGCTCTGTTGCCCAGACTGGAGTGCAAGATCTCAGCTCACTGTAACTTCTGCCTCCTGGGCTCAAGTGATTCTCTCACCTCAGCCTCCCGAGTAGCTGGGATTACAGACAGGTGTCCCCACGCCCGGCTAATTTTTGTATTTTTAGTAGAGACAGGGTTTTCCTATGTTGGCCAGGCAGGTCTCAAACTCCTGACCTCTAGTGATCCACCCACCTTCCCCCTCCCAAAGTGCTGGGATTACGGGCGTGAGCCCAGCCTACTATTAGTTTTCTATGGCTGCTATAATAAATTACCACAAATTTAGTGGCTTAAACACAATACAAATTGTATTACCTTTCATTCAGAAAGTCATTAAGTCTAAAATGGGTCTAATTAGGCTAAATTCAAGGTATGAGTATGGCTCCTACTTATTTTATATATTTTTTTTTTACACAGGGTCTGGCTCTGTCACCTGGGCTGGAGTACAGTGGCATGATCTCGGCTCACTGCAACCTCTGCCTCCTGCAGCTCAAGCGATTCTCCCACCTCAGCCTCTGGGACTGGGAGTAGCTGGGACTACAGGTGCGCATCACCACGCCCAGCTAATTTTTGTATTTTTTGTAAAGATGGGTTTTTGCCATGTTGCCCAGGCTGGTCTCGAACTCCTGGCCTCAACTGATTCATCCGCCTTGGCCTCCCAAAGTGCTGGGATTACAGGCATGAGTCACCGTGCCCAGTCAGCTCCTACATTTCTTCTGGAGTCTCTAGAGGAAAATCCATTGTCCTGCTGTTCCCTGCTACAGACAATCTACTCTGCTGGGTTCATGGCCACTTTCCTCATCTTCAAGTATCAGGCCTACTCCTCTGACTGCCAACTCTTTGACACTCTTCTGCCTCCTTTAGGACCCTTATGATTATATTGGCCCACCTGGATAATCTAGAATAATTTCCACATTTTAAGGTCAACTGATTAGCAACCTTAATTCCATCTGCCATCTTAATTCTCTGTTGCCATGAAACGGAACATATTCACAGGTTATGGGGGCTGGAGTATAGACATCTTGGGAGAAGGGGCATTATTTTGCCTACCACAGCAATCTTAAGTATTTAGAGGTGAAAGTCTAAAACTTACTTTGAAGTGGTTTAGAAAAAATGTTTATGCTATATATCAACAGCATATTGGTATGTGCCAAGCAAATATGGCAAAATATTCACTGCTGAACAAGATGGTAGTTACACAGCTGTTGCTCGTACTACTCTATTTTTCTATATGCTTAAATATTTTCAATTTAAAATTTAAAAACTAAAAACATTTAAAACTTTAAGATTAAAAAAATTAAAACAAATAAGCTGAACACAATGGATTCCTTTTTCTAAAAATGTCTACTGAGCACGGTAGCACACACCTGTAATCCCAGCACTTTGGGAAACTGAGGTGGAAGGATCACTTGAGGCCAAGAGTTCAAGATCTGGGCAACATAGCGAGACCCCCATCTCTAATAAATAAACCAACTAACCAAAAAAAAGAAAGAAAGAAAAAAGAATGCCTTTAACTTGACCACTCAGAACTGGAAAGTAATGTGGCAGAACATGGACAGTCCATGACATTTAATTGAGCAGTATGAAATGCAAGTAGCCTAGCCCTCCAGATACTATGGATATGGTTACTTGTTGGCTTGTAAGGGATTAAATTCCTTTTTGCATGCAGATGATAGGGTTTCATCTGAAGACTGAAATGATTATGTTAATCATCACAGCCCTATTTGCCTTGGGGAAAAAACATATCAGATAAGAAACCTGGACTACTATGTCTTCCTTTTGTATGTAAAAAGGAATAAACAGTATGCTTTATAATTCCTTATAAAGCATAACTTAAATATACATATGCATATGCATATATATATATATATATATAAATTGGCCGGGCGCAGTGGCTCACACCAGCAATGCCCAGCACTTTAGGAGGCCAAGGCAGGCGGATCACCTGAGGTCAGGAGTTTGAGACCAGCCTGGCCAACATAGTGAAACCCTGTCTCCACCAAAAATACAAAATTTAGCTGGGTGTGGTGGTGCGCACTTGGAGTCCCAGCTACTCGGGAGGCTGAGGCAGGAAAATCGCTTGAACCCGGGAGGCGGAGGTTGCAGTGAGCCAAGATCGCGCCACTGCACTCTAGCCTGGGCGACAGAGGGAGACTCTCAAATGTGTGTGTGTGTAATTATAACTTGCCTTTGATATAGTGTCCCTTCATAGAAAACGGATGCCCTTTTCTACTGTAGGCACTAATTAAATTAGTGGCACCTGATAAACTTTTCACATTGATAAAATATGTAAAACTTAGTCACTATATTCACTATAGTCCCCTTATCAAGTTAGAAAGTGGGAGGTAAAAAAGGAGAGAGAGATGTCTCTGGAATGGTCCTGGAACATGAGTCCTTAAGATATTTATAATCAAGAAGCGCTGAAATCATCATCCATTCTTACATGTGAAGAAGAGCTCCTTTGTAGTTTGCCTTCTGCCACAGGAGACATCAATCAGCCAGAGGTCCAAGACCTGTTTACCCCTACGTAATGTTTTTTAAAACTCTGAATTAGATAATCCAACAAGACCTTCTTTCTGAAGGCTGGAAGCAATAAGAACTTCCATCTCATTGAAGAGGTCAAGTGAAGATTCTTTTGAAATCATTCAGTTTTGAAGCACCTACCTAGTATTGTAAGAAATACAAATAATTTGACAGTGAATTCAAGGATAATATAGTAACTGGAGAAATCTGGAGATGCAATTGCTCTCAAATAGAGAAGAGGCCCAGTAACAAGAATGTTAAAATGTGGCTGACTTCAAGAATAGGATCAAGGTCTCAAACTAGATAGTTCTGAATTCTTCCCCCTTCCTATAAGGTTGTTCTTTCTTCTGCCTGGTGAGTTATGGGAGAGTGACGGGATATCCTTCCTTCCAATCTAACTTATTTCTCTTCTTATAGTCCATATTTATAATAAAGACATCATCATTCCCTTTATTGAGTTAAAAATCCAGAAATCAGGCTGGGGGCATGGTGGCTTACACCTGTAATCCCAGCACTTTGGGAGGCCAAGGTGGGCAAGAGTTCAAGATCAGCCTGGGCAACATGGCAAAACCCCATGTCTACAAAAAACACGAGTTCAAGACCAGCCTAGGCAACATGGCAAAGCCCCATCTCTACAAAAAATAGAAAAATTAGCCCAGGATGGTGGCATGCACCTGCGGTCCCAGCTACCCAGGAGGCTGAGGTGGGAGGATCGCTTGAGCTCAGGAGGTCAAGGCTGCAGTGAGCCGAGATCATGCCATTGCATTCCAGCCTGGGGAACAGAGCGAGACCATGTCTCATAAACAAAGCCCCGGCTACTCAGGAGGCTGAGGCGTGAGGATCACTTGGGTCTATGTAAAGGCTGAAGTGAGCCATGACTGTATCACTACACTCCAGCCTAGGTGACAAGGCAAGACCCTATCTCCAAAAAAGAAAAGAGAAACAATCAAATTGCATATGTATGTGGGTATATATGTATGTTATGTATTTGTAAGTATCATTAAAAAAATTAGACATGAAAAGGGGTCAGAGAGTGGTGTTAGGGTAGGGGAAGAGACTATTCTTAAAAGTATGGTCAGGAAAGTCCTGTCAGAAAAAATAACATTTGAGCAAGTCCTGAATTAAGGGCAGAAGTGAACTGTGCAAATATCTGGGAGAGGAGGTAACAAGTAGAGGTCACAGCAAGGATGTTGCTTGAGACAGGATAGCATTTAGCCTGTGCAAGCAACAGTAAAAAGGTACAGATGAAGTGCTAAATCCAAGACGGAGGGTGGTACTTTAAGACTATATAGGGTGCAGTGGCTCCCAGCACTTTGGGAGGCCGAGGTATGTAGGATGATTGAGCTCAAGAGTCCAAGACCAGCCTGGGCAACATAGCAAGATTCCATTTCCACTAAAAATACAAATAGAAATCAGGCAGGTGTGGTGGAGTGTGCCTGTTGTTCCAGCTACTCAGGAGGCTGGGGTGGGAGGATTGCTTGAGCCTGGGGGATCTAGTCTGTAGTGAGCCATGATTCCACCACTGCACTCCAGCCTGGGTGGCTGCAAGACTTCACCTCAAAAAAAAAAAAAGACCATGCAAGGCGAGGCGAGGCGGCTCATGCCTATAACCCCGGCACTTTGGGAGACCCAGGTGGGTGGATCACCTGAGGTCAGGAGTTCGAGACCAGCCTGGCCAACACAGTGAAACCCTGTCTCTACTAAAAATACAAAAATTAGCCAGGTGTAGTGGCACGAGCCTGTAATCCCAGCTGCTCGGGAGGCTGAGACAGGAGAATCGCTTGAACCCAGGAGGTGGAGGCTGCAGTGAGCTGAGACTGCACCACTCCACTCCAGCCTGGGTAACAGAGTGAGACTCCATCTCAAAAAAAAATAATAAAAAAAAAAAAAGACCATAGACATTACTTTTATGAATAGAGTAATAATATGTCCTAGTTTGTATAGAACATGTCCCAGTTTATTCTCTCATGATGATTAACAATGTTCCTTTCACCTTTAATAGCGTCCTAGTTTGGAGGGTAAATTATATGGTCATCCCTATCTCCATTCCTCCAGGCAATTTTTCCTTTCTTTGTGCTGTCAAGGAATTTTCTTTTCTTTTCTTTTTTTTTTTTTTTTTTTTTTTTTTTTGAGACAGAGCCTTGCTCTGTTGCCCAGACTGGAGTGCACTGGCGCGATCTCAGCTCACTGGAACCTCTGCCCCAGGTTCAAGCGATTCTCCTGCCTCAGTCTCCCAAGTAGCTGGGATTACAGGTGTGGCCACCACGCCCAGCTAATTTTTGTATTTTCAGTAGAGACAAGGTTCCACCATGTTGGCCAGGCTGGTCTCGAACTCCTGACCTCAAGTAATCCACCTGCCTTGGCCTCCCAAAGTGCTGGGATTACAGGTGTGAGCCACTTGCACTCGGCCTGTCAAGGAATTTTGGAAACATGTCATTTTCTGTGTCTTATTACTGAATTACTTGTCCATTTCCCTTAGAAAACTGTGAGCACCCAGAAGTCATGAATGGTATGTAGTTAAACTATTTTCTTTCCTTTTTCTTCCAAAAGACAGGGCCTCACTCTGTCACCTAGGCTGGAGTGCAGTGGTGCAATCAAAACTTCCTGTAACCTTGAACTCCTAGGGTTAGGCAATCCTCCCACCTTAGCTTCCCGAAGAGCTAGGACTACAGGTGCGTGCCACCTCAACCAGCTAACTTTAAAATTTTTTGCAGAGATTGGGTCTTGCTATGTTGCCCAGGCTGGTCTCAAACTCCCAGCTTCAGGTGATCCTCCCACCTTGGCCTCCCAAAACATTAAGATTCCAGGCACGACTCACTGCCACTGGTAGTTAAAATTCATTTTCTTATCTACTTAAAAAAAATTATTTTTGAGAGACAGGGTCTCTTTCTGTCACCCAGGCTGGAGTGCCGTGGCACAATCATAGTTCACTGCAATCTCCAACTCCTGGACTCAAGTGATCCTCTGGACTCAGCCTCCCAAGTAGCTGGTACTACAGGTGCATGCTACCACACATGGCTAATTTTTGGTAGAGACAGGTCTTGCTATGTTGCTGAGGCTGCTCTTGAACTCCTGACCTTAAGTGATCCTCCCATCGTGGCCTCCAAGTCATAAACCACGGGGCCCAGCCCATTTTCTTAACTTTTTCACCTAACCAGTATATAACAGGCACTCAAAACATTTCTTGTTGAATGAACTGGCTTTAAAGGTCTCTGTCTCCTGCAAACATACTCTAAAAAGAGGAGCTAGGCAGAGGAGAGAAAGTGTGTGGAGTTACTTCAGGCAGCAAACTTCAAGCTGAGAGTAAGTCGGAAGAAAGGGTAATCTAAGATTAACAGAAACGGATCCATATACAAGGAGTCTCAGAACTTTAACTGAGAAGGACGCCTGCCTCCAAATTGCTTCTAATCCATTAAAAATATATATATTATAACCTTCAAGAACTTGTCAGAAAAGTAAAAATAGGCCCAGGTTGGTGGCTCATGCCTGTAACCCTAGCACTCTGGAAGGCCAACGCAGGAGGATCACTTAAGGCCAGGAGTTCAAGACCAGCCTGGGCAACATAGTGAGCCACTGTGCCTCCCACCCCGGGCCATCTCTATTTATTTTAAAAATCAGAAATATATACATAAAAAAAGAGGAAAAAAAGGTTCTCAGACATTTCAAAGAAACATCATTAAGTTATATATTTAAAAAATACGGCCGGACACAGTGGCTCATGCCTGTAATCTCAACACTTTGGGATTGATGGGAGGATCACGAGGTTAGGAGTTCGAGACCAGCCTGGCCAATATGGTGAAACTCCATCTCTACTAAAAAAAAAAAAAATTAGCCGGGCGTGGTGGTGCACGCCTGTAGTCCCAGCTACTTGGAGGTCGAGGCAGAAGAATCACTTGAACCCAGGAGGCAGAGGTTTCAGTGAGCTGAGATCACACCACTGCACTCCAGCCTGGGCAACAGAGCGAGACTCCATTTCAAAAAAAAAAAAAAATATATATATATATACACATATGTATATATATGTATATGTATATATGTATGTACGTATATGTATATATGTATATATATGTGTATATATATATATGCATATCACTAAAGTTTAGAGAAGGACTGCACAAGTCTAGGAAAATTTTTAGGATACAGAAACAATTCCGCATACTGCAACCTTGTGGCTAATATACATGTGAATAATAAGCTCCCTGCCATGTATCTCTATATACCTAGTTGCTAAAAGAGTACCTGCTCAAGAAATGTGAAGAATATAACTTACATTAGTTTTTCAGTTTACAACGTATTTTACATACATTATATCCTTTTTTTTTTTTTTTTTTTTTTTAGACTGAGTCTTGCTCTGTCACCCAGGATGGAGTGCAGCGGCGTGATCTCAGCTCACTGCAAACTCCACCTCCCAGGTTCAAGCAATTCTCCTGCCTCAGCCTCCTGAGTACCTGACGTTACAGGCTCATGCCGTCACACCCAGCTAATTTTTTTATTTTTAGTAGAGACGGGGTTTCACCATGTTGGCCAGACTGGTCTCGAACTTCTGACCTCAGGTGATCCGCCCGCCTCAACCTCCCAAAGTGCCAGGATTACAGGCATGAGCCATCACTCCCAGCCTTTACATACATTATATCTTATGTGATCCTCATAACATCCCTATAAAGATGAGCAAAGCAGTAAAACTGTCTCAATTTTATAGACGAAAAAATCAGTCTTCTTGGGGCTTGTAGAAGAAACTAGCTTCCAGCTTGCCAGTTTCCACACACAATCATTTTTATTTTCTGAAGAGCAATGTTACTCAAAGTGTGGGCCACTGACCACTGCAGTTCCATGAACTGCAAAAAGATAAGCACAGAAATTGAGAGTATTTAGAAAAAGCGTTAATTTGCCACTGCGCCTGGCCAATCTCTACTTTATTTCTTTTTTTTTTTTTTTTGAAATGGAGTTTTGCTCTTGTTGCCCAGGCTGGAGTGCAATGGTGCAATCTCAGCTCACCACAACCTCCACCTCCCGGGTTCAAGCAATTCTCCTGCCTCAGCCTCCCAAGTAGCTGGGATTACAGGCATGCGCCACCATACCCGGCTAATTTTGTATTTTTAGTAGAGACAGGGTTTCTTCATGTTGGTCAGGCTGATCTCAAACTCCCGACCTCAGGTGATCTGCCCACCTCGGCCTCCCAAAGTGCTGGGATTATAGGCATGAGGCACTGCGCCTGGCATACTTTTTTTAAGAGAAAAAAATAAATTAAAATGCAGCTTCCCAGGCCCTATTTCATGACATTAAATTTATTTGGGTGGGGCTAAGGAATCTGCATTTTTACTACTCTCTCCTGGTTATTACTAGGCACTGTAAGAATGACTGCTCCAAACTTTCACAAAGAAAAACAGGAAAGTGGCCGAGCACGGTGGCTCACGCCTGTGACCCCAACAGTTTGGGGGGCCGAGGCGGGTGGATCACCTGAGGTCAGGAGTTCAAGACCAGCCTGGCAAAATGGTCTTGAACTGTCTCTACTAAAAATGCAAAATTCTAAAAATACAAAAATTAGCTGGGCGTGGTGGTGCATGCCTGTAATCCAAGCTAATTGGGAGGCTGAGGCAGGAGAATCACTTGAACCCAGGAGGTGGAGGTTGCAGTGAGCCAAGATCACACCAATGCACTCCAGCCTGGGTGACGACAGTGAACCTCCGTCTCAAAAGAAAGAAATAAGAAAAAAAAAAAAACAACAGGAAAGTAAGCAATCTAAGTACATAATTAAATAAAGGAATAGGAGTTAGCTACATTTTTCCAACCTTCTCCAGTACTCATCTATAAAAATTCTGTTTTTCTTTTTTTTTTCCAAGACAGAGTCTCGCTCTGTCTTCAGGCTGGAGTGCAGCTGTGCGATCTTGGCTCAGTGCAACCTCCGCCTCCCAAGTTCAAGCAATTCTCCTGCCTCAGCCTCCTGAGTAGCTGGGACTACAGGCACGTGCCACAATGCCTGGGTAATTTTTTTGTATTTTTAGTAGAGACAAGGTTTCACCATGTTGGCCAGGATGGCCTTGATCTCTTGACCTTGTGATCCACCTGCCTCGATCTCACAAAGTGCTGGGATTACAGGTTATGAGCCACCACGCCCGGCCTAAAAATCCTGTTTTTCTTCATGCAAAGTAGAACGGATGTAGGCTTTCCTTAGGAATATTTTTTATATGAAAGAAAAACAAAAAATTCTTTTTATCCTTTATACCATGGAAGTAATAATAATAGGCACTAGGGGAGCAGAGTTTTGAACAGAGATCCTTCACAATGCTCTGAAAAGCATGATCTCAAATTTGTACACACACACATACTTGAGAGCCTCTTCTTCCCAGACAAAACATGTTGTAAGTGATACATTCATCACACAAGTCTGAGGACAGTTGGGAGAAAGTGCACTCCAAAAGGAAGACAAGTAACAAGGTATGTATTGGGGGCTTGGTGAGAGGGGATACAGGAGAAGGATTAACATCTGAATGAATGCTGATTATCGGAATGGTGAGAGCTAAGAACCAAAAAAACAGTATTTAGGTTCACATGTGTAATTTCAGCACTTTGGGAGGTGGAGGCGGGAGGAGAGCCTAAGCTCAGAAATGCTAGACCAACCTGGGCAATATAGGGAGACCTTGTCTCTACAAAAAATTTAAAAATTAGCTGAGTACAATGGCGCATGCCTATAGTCCCAGCTACTTGGAATGCTGAGACAGGAGGATCAATTAAACCTAGGAGGTCGAGGCTTCAGTGAGCTATGATTGTGCCACTGCAGTCTAGCTTGGGTGACAAAGCAAAACCCTGTGAAAGAAAGAAAGAGAAGAAGAAAAGAAAGAGATGAAAGAGAGGGAGGGAGGAAAAGGAAAGAAAGAAAGCAACAACAAAAAACCAAGTATCTAATTCTCAGAACATTCCTATGAAGTCCATATTATACCCATTCTATGAATGAAAAAACTGAGACTCAGAAATACTAAATACAGCCAGGCACAGTGGCTCATGCCTGTAATCCCAACACTTTGGGTGGCTGAGGTGGGCGGATCACTTGAGGTCAGGAGTTCGAGACCAGCCAGGTCAACATAGTGAAACCCTGTCTCCACTAAAAACACAAAAAATCAGCTGGGCACAGTGGCGTGTGCCTGTAGTCCCAGCTATTTGGGAGGCTGTGACAGGAGAATTGCTTGAACCTGGGAGGCGGAGGTTGCGGTAAGCCGAGATCCCGCCACTGCACTCCAGCCTGGGTGACAGAGAGACACTCCATTTCAAAAAAAATAGTATTATTTAGTATACTACATAATTTCTTATTTAGTATAAACCTGTCCAAGAAACACAACAAATAGGAAAGTCATGATTAAAATCTACGTCTAATTCTGGCCAGGCACAGTGGCTCACGCCTATAATCCCAGCACTATGGTAGGCCAAGGCGGGTGGATCACCTGAAGTCAGGAGTTCGAGACCAGCCTGGCCAACATGGTGAAACCCCGTCTCTACTAAAAAATACAAAAATTTTCTGGACGTGGTAGCACGTGCCTGTAGTCCCACCTACTTAAGAGGCTGAGGCAGGAGAATCGCTTGAACATGGGAGGCGGAGGTTGCAGTGAGCTGAGATCGTGCCACTGCACTCCAGCCTAGGTGACAGAGTGAGACTCCATCTCAAAAACAAATAATTTAAAAAAAAATCTACATCTAATTCTAATGACCAGGACACTCCCCTTCTACCACACCAAGGATGGTAAGTGGCTTTCAATTCCAATGCCAACTACATTTTACCGATGGTGATGACGTGGAACATTCTGTTACATAAGTAAAGACTTTTAATCAATTATTGTCTGCCATAAGAATAACATATAAAAACACTAGCACATATATAAACCAAGTATTTACCAGATTATTCTCATAATCAGACTAAAAATACCAGAGGCAATTTGAATTC